>NT_167244.2:246466-321480 GCF_000001405.40 Homo sapiens | reverse complement strand
GGCCAAAGGACCTGAGCTGACATTTCTCAATAGAAGACATACATATGGCCAACAGATACGTGAAATAATGATAATGCTCAACAGCACTATTCATGAGAGAAATGAAAATTAAAACCCCAATGAGATCAGCCAACATGTTAGGATGGCTATTATCGAGACGAGATAACAAGTATTGGCAAGGATTCAGAAAGAAAGGGAATCCTTATGCACTACTGGTGGGAATGTAAATTGGAACAGCCATTTTAGAAAACAGTATGGAGGTTCCTCAAAAATCAAAACTAGAGCTACCATCTTATCCAGCAATCCCACTGCTGGGTATATACCCAAAGGAAACGAAAATAGTATGTCAAAGAGATATATGCACTCTTGTGTTCAATGTAGCATCATTCACATTAGCCAACACTTGGAAACAAACCAAGCATCCATCAAAAAGAAGGAAATTCTGCCACTTGCAACAACATGGATCAACCTTGTTGGCATTATGCTTAGTAAAATACATGAATCAGAGAAAGACAAATACGATATGAACTCACTTATACATGAAATCTTAAAAAGCTGAATTCACAGAAACAGAGAATAGAATTAGAATGGTGGTTTCCAAAAGCTGGGGGAGGGGAAAATAGGGAGATGTTGGTCAGAAGGTACAAGCTTTCAGTTATAAGGCGAACAAGTTCTGGGGATTTAATATGCAGCATGGTGAATATAGTTAACAATACAGTATTTAATATTTGAAATTTGTTAAGAGAGTAGATCTTAAATATTCTCACCACAAAACAAGAAAAAATATGTCAGCTGATGGATAGGTTAATTAGCTGGTTTGTGGTAATCACTTCACAATATATACATATGTCAAAACATCATACACATAGTAAGTGTATGCAATTTTTACTTGTTAATTATACCTTCACAAAGCTGCAGTGAAAAGAACAGAGGTAAAACTATATTATTTTCATAAATTGCATAAGTGTATATTTTATGATTACTATGAAAAAGGGGTTTTTTAAATTTCTATTTTTAGTTTAGATTCAGGGGGATACATGGGCAGGTTTATTACAAGGGTATATTGTGTGATGCTGAGGTTTGGGCTTATATTAATCCTGTCACCCAGACAGTGAATATAGTATACAATAGGAAATTTTTCAGTCCTTGCTCCTCTCCTCCTCTCCTTCCTTTTGGAATCCCTAGTGTCTACTGTTTCCATCTTTATGTCTGTATGTACCCAGGATTTATCTCCTTAAATTTTAAATCAAGTGAGAAGATGTGGTGTTCGGTTTTCTATTTCTGCATTAATTTGCTAAGGATAATGGCCTCCAGCTGCATCCATATTGCTTCAAAGGACATTATTTCGTTCTCTTTTATGGCTGTGTAGCATTCCATGTTGTATATGTACCACATTTTCTTTATCCAATCCACCATTAATGGGCACCTAGCTTGATTCCATGTCTTTGCAATTGTGAATAGTGCTGCAATGAACATGTGAATGCATGTGTCTTTTGGGTAGAACAATTTATTTGGGTGGGAGGCACATACCCAGTGATGGAATTGCTAGGTTGAATGGTAATTCTATTTTCAGTTCTTTGAGAAATTCCCAAACTACTTTCCATAGTGGCTGAACTAATCTACATTCCCACCAGCAGTATAAAAGTGTTCCATTTTCTCTGCAGCCTCATCAATATCTGTCATTATTTTACTTTTTAGTAATAGCCATTCAGACTAGTGCAAGATGGTATCTCATTGTGGTTTTGAGTGGCATTTCTCTAATGATTAGTGTTCGAGCATTTTTTATATGTTTGTTAGCTGCTTTTATGTCTTCTTTTGAGAATTGTCCATTCATGTTCTTTGCCCATTCTTTAATGGGGTTATTTGTTTTTCTCTTGTTGATTTGTTTAGGTTCCTTATAGATTCTGGATATTAGTCCTTTGTCAGATGCATAGTTTGCAAATATTTTCTCCCATTCTGTAAGATGTCTGTTTATTCTGTTGATAGGTACTTTTGCTGTGCAGAAGCTCTTTGGTTTAATTAAGTCCCATTTGTCAATTTTTTGTGTGTTGCAATTGCTTTTGAGGACTTGGTCATAAGTTCTTTGCCAAGGCCAATGTCCAAAAGGGTATTTCTGAGTTTTTTCCCCAGGATTTTTATAGTTTGGGGCTTTACATTTAAGTCTTTAATCTTTCTTGAATTAATTTTTGTATATGGTGCTTGGTAAGGGTTAAGTTTCATCCTTCTGAATATAGTTAGCCAGTTTTCCTAGGACCATTTATGGAATAGGGAGTCCTTTCTGCATTACTTATTTTTGTCGACTTTGTTCAAGATCAGTTGGTTGTAGGTATGCTGCTTTATTTCTGGGTTCTTTATTCTGTTCCATTGGTCTAGGTGCCTATTTTTGTGCCAGTACCTTGCTGTTTTGATTACTGTAGACTTGTAGCATAGTTTGAAGTCCAGTAATGTGATGCTTCCAGTTTTGCTCTTTTTGCTTAGGATTGTTATGGCTATTTGGGCTCTTTTTTGGTTCCGTGTAATTTTAGAATCATTTTTTCTAGTTCTGTGTAAAATGACGTTGGTAATTTAATAGGAATAGTGTTGAATCTGTAGATTGCTTTAGGCGGTAAAATTTAGACATTTTGTTTATGTTGTTGATTCTTCCAATCCATAAGCATGGAAGGTTTTTCCATTTGTTTGTGTCATCTATGATTTCTTTCAGCAGTGCTTTGTAGTTCTTTTTGTGGAAATCTTTCACTTCCTTGGTTAGAAGTATTCCTAGATTTTGTGTGTGTGTGTGTGTGTGTGTGTGTGTGTGTGTGTGTATTTTAAAGGGAATTACATTCTTGATTTGGCTCTCAGCTTGAACATTATTGGTGTATAGAAATGCTATTGATTTTTTACATTGATTTTGTATCTTCAAACTTGACTTAAGTTGTTTTATCAGGTCTAGAAGCCTTTTGGCAGAGTCTTTGGGGTTTTCTAGTCATAGAATCATAGCATAATTTGACTCCTCTTTTCCTATCTGGATGCTTTTTATTTCTCTCTCTTGCCTGATTTATTTGGCTAGGATTTTCAGTACTACGTTGAATAAGAGTAGTGTCAGAATTCTTGTCTTATTCCAGTTCTTAAAGGGAATGCTTCCAGCTTTTACCTATTTGGTATGATGTTGGCTGTGGGACTGAAATAAATGGCTTTTATTATTTTGAAGTATGTTCTTTGGATACCTAGTTTATTGAGGGTTTTAACATGAAGAGGTGTTGGATTTTATCAGAAGATTTTTCTGCAACTATTGAGAGAATCATATACGGTTTGGGGAAAATAAGGCTTAAAATATTTGATTTCATAAGTTCACGAGAAGGTAAATAGGTAGATTGTTTTGGTTTTGTATTTTTCCCCAAAATATACCAAAAATATTTTCCGATATTTCAAAAAATATCATTTACAATATTTCAGATATTTTGGTAAAATATATGGTCCACCAAAAAAAAAAAAATCAAACAGAGCCAAGTTTTGTGGCACACACCATTAATCCCAGTGACTGGAAAGACTGAAATGGGAGGATTGCTTGAGCCCAAGAGTTTGAGGCCAAAATGAGCCATGATCACACCACTATACTTCAGCCTGGGTGACAGAGTGAGACCCAAAAGCCAAAAGCCAAAAAAAAAAGAGTCAAAAAATAGAAATGTAAAGGATAACATAAAAGCAGTCTCAGAAATCTCTTTCTTCTGGGAACATACTCTTTATCCAGGCTATTTGATGATCAATATCATTAAACACGGATCTCCATCACCACATAAATGAGTTAGCATTATATTTCTTGAATATATCACCCTAGATAACCTTGACTGAATGGGATATTTAATATACACATCAGATATTGTTCTAACTGCTTTATAGTCAACAAACAATTATTGATCCCTGTTACATGCTAGACTCCCTTCCAGGCACCAAACAGCCACTGGAAGCTAATATAGCATCATCAAGGAATGCTGAGTGCAGCATTATCACAGGGCTATCAGGTCCTGACCAATTAGTCTACGGAAATATTGGAAGACAATGTCCGTAAAATTGCATAGTAAGAAATCAACATCTACACGGAACACTATTCCTAAAGAGAGAATGTTTCTATTTGGTGGGATGTTATATAAAAAAAGAAAGAAAAAAAAAGCAATGAACAAATAAAACACTATATATAATTTGGCTGATGAGCTTGTTTTCACAAATAAAAGTAAGCTCCATTAAGTCAGGGACTTTACTGTTTTGTCTATTTAGTTGTTTGCTATATTTCTATTGCTAATCAAATTTGTTGAATTGATTCATTCAGTTACGTGGCAAAAAAGGGGGATCAGATCCATATTCGTTTGGATCTTAGGTTTTAATTGTGGGGAGATACATTTAAAAAAAACAAAATTTAGAGTGATAAGTGCTACGAAAAACACATGGAAATGTGATAGAGATTAGCTGGGGAGGAGGGATTTTAATTTAGATTAAGTAGTCAAGGAAGATCTCGTTGAATAGATTATATCTGAAAAACGATTACAAACAAGGAGTTCAATTTGGGGACAGAATCTGCCAGGCCAATGAAATTCAATGCAAAGACACTTTAACACCTGCAACCCTGGAATGACAAAGGCATGAGACGAATGGGAGAAGGAGGGAGGGATGAAAAGGAGCCAGGCAAGGTGCATCTGGTAGTTCTTGGTAAGGAGTCTGAATTTTATAGTTAAGTGCATAGGAAGTCTAAAAAGATTTCAAATTGGCAAATGGAAATACTTGATTTGTGGTTTTGGTTTTCTTGGGTTTTGTTTTTTGTTTTTTCGAGACACAGTCTCGCTCTGTCGCCCAGGCTGGAGTGCAATGGTGCGATCTCGGCTCACAGCAACCTCTGTCTCCCGGGTTCAAGCGATTCTCCTGTCTCAGCCTCCAGAGTAGCTGGGATTCCAGGCATGCGCCACCATACCCGGCTAATTTTGTATTGTTGTATTGTTGATTTTGTATTGTTAGACGGGGTTTCTCCATGTTTATCAGGCTGGTCTCGAACTCCTGACCTCAGGTGATCTGCCCGCCTCGGCCTCCCAAAGTGCTGGGATTACAGGCGTGAGCCACCGCGCCCAGCCAACGTGTGGTTTTTTTAAAGAACGCTTTTGGCCGCCATATGGAGAATAGATTGAAAGGGGAATGAATTAAAGCAGAGAAACAAGATAGTAATCCATTGGGTAATCCAGGAAAAATAGGGTGGCCCAGTTTGTTAGTCATTCTGGAAATGGAGAGAAGTCGAGCTTGGAATCATTCAGATTTTCAAGATGAGGGCAGGCTAGTAATTAAGGATAACTCCTTAATTACTGGTTTCTGGCCAGAAATAGGTACATGTTTATATCATTTACTACAATGAGGAAGACTGGAATGAGAGCAGATTCAGTGCAATCAAGAGATCTATTTTAGCTATGTTTAGACTCATAATTTTGTGCATGAAATTAGGCAGTTGGAACTACCTATTCCATGCTCAATGTAGAAGACTGGAAATAGACACTTGAAAGCCATCAATATGTAGATGGGATTCAAATCCTTAAAACTCTAAGATTCTATCTAGGGACACAGTATAAACAGAAAAGAATTGAGCCTTTGGCAAGGGCATAGGAATCTCAGGACACTGTATTTCTAAAATTTCTACATATGCCAGCCAATACAGTTACTCTGATATGCGGCCAGTTGTGGAAGCACTGCTAATAACTTCACTTTAAATGGTTTCCATAAGTTAAGGGCTAAAGTAAGCAAGGGAAAAAATTGTTAAATAAAAAGGAAACAGGAAAACATGTCTTGATTTATTCAAAGGGGTATGGAAAGGTCTTATATTAAAGTTTAAGGCAAGGGCATCTGCTTTACAAGCTGGGTATATCCATTTTTTGATAACAAATGAAAACCTTTTTAAAAATTAATTCAAAAATCCAAAGGATTTCTCTATAATTTCTCCAGAGTAACAAACCCATGGATTTTAATCACAGAATAAGGAGCAAGGGACTAGAAAAGTCACTGTGTAGGAATGTATTTAAACCAGAAACATGGGTGGGCATGACAATTTATATACATTTTTGTTTTTCAAATGAAAATTGAATATTTGCTATGGTTGAATTGAAATTGTGAAATTCAATTATAACTTTAAAGTGGTTTTTAAAAGAAAAAGGAGAACTGTAGAAAATTTGACTAAAGGGGAAGAGAAAAATACATAAGTGAAACTGAGATCTCCAGTCAAAGTGAACAGTTTCAAGTATTCAGATGTTTAGAATCTTGATAGACAAAAATGTACCATTAGTAGATGTTATGTTTCTTTTTATCATCATTATTATAGCATTTATAAAGAATACATACACATACATATGTATATACTATGTATATAGTATATATATTTCATATATGTGTGTATTATATATAAAATCCTAAAGGAAGTGCTTATAAGGAGAGTATTTTCCAGATGTTTTATCAAATATCAGCATAAACTTTCCCCAAATATTTCTGCAGCACACAGACACCCTGAACTGATTGAAATTGTAACAGTTAATACTTATTTGGATGCTGTGTGCCAACCAGTACTGTAGTATTTACATATGTTAAACTTATTGAATCCTTACATTCGCCCTTTAAATTATGTATTATAATATCCCCTATTATAGATAAGAAATCGGAGGCAATGAAGGTTAAGTAATTTTCCCAAGTTCACACATCTGGTAACTGTAGCCACCAGGATTTCAGCCCAGAAAGTCTGGCTCCACAATCTATCCATCTAACCATTACACTATACTATATCTCAAGTGTAAAATATATTGATTATCGTACAGAAGCAGATAGTTAAAATTATTTTATTGATCAGTAATGTCATCCACATTTGAACATGTATCATGAGGCAGCCAATTCGTGCTTATGTATTTTATTAAAACCAATTATTACTGATATGTAATTTTAATTTAAGGAAGCTGTTAAAACCTATGATTATAAGCCAACTCACAAAAATTTTCATAGTATATACTTACTCTAGAATTTAATGTGTAAATAGTGACCTCTGAGACAATAACAAAACTAATTGTCGTAGACAATGAAGTATTTGAATCATCCCTCATGGTCACCAAAACAACTGAGAAAAAATGTAAATCTTATGATTCTGGTCTTACTGTTTAGAGCTTTGGGGATTAAACATCTCTTTCAAATACAACTGTTCTGACCATGGGTATCAGAGATAACCACTAGAGGTACCTCATTTAAATGATATCTGCTCAGAGCAAGTTTAGTTCCACAATCAATATTTGTGCTTTGAATGGTAAGATTTTTCTGTAGCTAAGTATAATTGTAGTGTTGGAAATCTACATTATTTAAGAGTAAATTTTATATTATAATACATTCACAACCAAAAAAATATGAAAATACATTTTCTTATTTCTTTGTCCTATAGTTTTCCTTCATATTAAATAACTTTTACATCTACTAAACCTGCCCTAGTGAAATATTAGGGTATGGTCTAATTCTAGGCTGGCATTTTCTATGACACTGTACTCTAGTAAAGTTAATTGGATGCAGTCCCAATGGTTTAGATAATCTTTTTGATTATCTGAGTCTTCAGGTAATACTGGGAAATTTTGTTCAATTCTGATTCTGAATTATCCGGTTGCTTTTCCTAATGTTTCTCTATGGTCAAGACCTACTTGCAGGTTGATTTAAACTCAGAACAAGAAGTAAGAATTTGTGACAGGTTTCATCCTCTTACTTGAAGTCATATATTCGAGAAGGAGGAGTCCTGTTGAGAATCTCTACCCTAACACACTTTGGGAAAAGCAGAATTCTCCGTGGCACTGCAGGGAAATCATGAGAAATTTACAGCCCTGGAGAAAAAAATGCTTAACCGGGATCTATTTTCCATAGTGTGGATTCTACAAAAGTCGAGAAGTAGAATGGCAAAGGAACTCCCTCTGGATCACAGTAATGTTCATCCTTAATCTCTTGGAGAAACAGTATGCCTGGATTGGTAAAACAATTTGTAGAAAGTAGAAGAAAAAGAACTTAGATCTGTATGGGCTGGTTTTATTTCAGAAGTCTGAGAATAAATATTGATCCAGCAGAAACAAAAGCGAGAAAGATAGATTAAATTGAAAATGAAGAATTCAGATACTTGTTTTTAATTTTGTTTTGTTTTGTTTTTTAATGCCATTTGTGAAACTTGTCAGCAAAATATTTTATTCTTGAAGGTTGTGGAGCCATAAAGGACTCAGATTTTATGTATCCATTTCTAAATCTCATACTGTGCATGAAAATTTATTTGAAGATTTTTCTATGTCACTTTTTAATAGGCAGAAGGAGGATTTTTATTCTTTCCTGAGTTAATCTTTATGGACTGTAGTAATAATGAAATAGTTAAGAAATTAACAGCATAATATTGATTTTAATTTTAAAAGAATTTTCAGGTTTTTATATAATTTTAACTGAAGCCCTATTTTATTCAGAAGTTAGGCACAATTATACACATCAACGAGTCTGTTAAAATAAATAAGCATTAATTATTGATGCCCCTGCTCAGACATTATGGAACTTTAATGGGGTGTGACAGCTTGAAATATCTTTCAGAGAATTATTTTTCTTTCTATCCAATTTGATTAATGGCAAAACTCAGAATCAAATCATAATTTTTGAAAAGCTAATGCTAAAGAAATCACAAAATGATTTTCTCAAAACGGCTATTTCAACCACCATCTCCGGTTAGTCTCACAAATGTATCCACTTTTGAATCATGGCCACAGTTGGAAGTAATTTCTTAATAACATTCAAAAAAACATATTTGAAATGGCATAACAAACAAAAAAAGCACAACTTTTTGTACTACATCTATATAAAGAGAGAGAAGAAGCACCAGTTTGATATTTATCTGGGTTTTGTTTGTTTTTGAGACAGGATCTTGCTCCAGCACCCAGGGTGGAGTGCAGTGGTGCAATCATAGCTCACCGCAACCTCAAACTCCTGGGCTCAAGTGATCCTCCCGCCTCAGCCTCCTGAGTAGCTGGGACTATAGGAGTACGCCACCACACCTGGCTAATGGCTGTTATTTTTTAACCAAATGTTTTATATTAGCTTTTTGACCACTTTATTGAAGTATGACTGACATACAAAAGCAGTACAGATTTAATGTATACAACTTGATGAGTTTGAAGGTGAGTATATACCTGTGAAACCATCAACACAATCTATCCCATATATACATCCATCACCTCCAACAGTTTCCTCCCACCTTCTTTATTGTGTTGTGTATGTGTGTGCGTGTGATGAGAACACTTAACATAAGATCTACCCTCCTAGCAAAATTTTAAGTATACAATATAGTATTTCTTAAATGTAGTGTAAAGTGGCTGACAAGTTTTAAGGAGATGGATGACATGATTTCATCAAATGTTGTAACAATGTAAAGGCATAAGACTGGATGCAAGGACTGGATGCAAGACTATTGCCAGAATCCAGAAAAGAAATCATAGTGATTTGAATTAGGGTTGTGGTGGTAGGGATTTTTTAAAGTGATAGGATAATTAGCATATATATTTGCATCCAAATTTACCAGTTTTGGTGATAAGGCGTTAAGAATGAGAGAGACAAGGCGTCCAAGGGTAAACACCAGATGTCCTACATAACAAACTAGGAGATCAAAGGTGCTTAGTCACTAAGATATGAAAAAAGAAGAACAATCTTTCCTCACTCTTTTTTAAGGTTTATTTTTAATTAAGCAACAATTGTATATGTTTATGGGGTGCAATATAATGTTTTAATATATGTTTATAATGTGTAATGATTAAATCAGGCTAATTAACAAACCCATCACCTAACATACTTATTTTTTGTGGTGAAAACACTTAAAATCTACTCTTAGTAATTTTGAAATAAACAATGCATTATTGTTTATTGTAGTCACCATTCTGTGAGATCACTAAAACTGGTTCCTTTTTTCTAACTGAAACTTAGTACCCTTGATCAACATCTCCCCTTTTCCCATCCATCTCCTGCCCCCACTCTCTACCTCTATGAGTTCAACTTTTTTGGATTCCATATATAAATGAAATCATGCAATATTTGTCTTTCAGCTTACTTCAGTTAGCATGATGTCCCCAGGTTCATCCTCCAGGTTATCACATCTTTTCCTCATCCTACCATTAGCCCAGTACTTAAATTTTATAGGTGAATTTACTGATCAAATAAAAGAATATGTTCATTTTATCAAGCTAACTAGCTTATAAAGAATCATAGGGTCATTTTAGAACCAGCATCTATTTCAAACTTTCAAATCTACACGTTAGATAATTCAGACCTCAAGTTTAAAAGTGAACTCCCCAAGGTCACCTGGATTTTTTTTAAAAAATCTAATATTAAACTCATTGCCATAAAAGAATCTATGACAAATAGCAGATTTCTTGGCTGTAATTTTTACTTTTATCCATTAAATTTTTTCAATTAGTAACATAAATTATCTCTCTTTGTTTAGTTCTAATTTTATCAAATTATTTAGATAGTTCATGTTGACAAATTGTTTCTTCCTCTTTTCCTTTTCTTCTTCCTCTCCCTCCTCCTTCTCCTCCTCTACCTCTTCTTCCTTCTTCTTCCTTCTCCTTATCCTTGTATCATCATCTACCTCCTCCTCCTCCTTTTCTCACTCTAGGATTTAGACATTGAAGGACTATGGACCAAAGCAATTATAGTTCTTTACATGGTTTTATTCTGCTTGGCTTCTCTAACCATCCAAAAATGGAGATGATCCTGTCAGGAGTTGTCGCCATCTTCTACTTAATTACATTGGTGGGTAACACAGCCATCATTCTTGCATCTCTCCTGGATTCCCAGCTTCATACACCAATGTACTTTTTCCTCAGAAATTTATCTTTCCTAGATCTATGTTTCACAACCAGCATCATCCCTCAGATGCTGGTCAACTTGTGGGGACCTGATAAGACCATCAGCTATGTGGGTTGTATCATCCAACTCTATGTTTACATGTGGTTGGGCTCAGTTGAGTGCCTTCTCCTGGCTGTTATGTCCTATGATCGTTTTACAGCTATATGTAAGCCCTTGCATTATTTTGTAGTCATGAACCCACATCTATGTCTAAAGATGATTATCATGATCTGGAGTATTAGTTTGGCCAATTCTGTAGTATTATGTACACTCACTCTGAATTTGCCCACATGTGGAAACAACATTCTGGATCATTTCTTGTGTGAGTTGCCAGCTCTGGTCAAGATAGCTTGTGTAGACACCACAACAGTTGAAATGTCTGTTTTCGCTTTAGGCATTATAATTGTCCTCACACCTCTCATCCTTATTCTTATATCCTATGGCTACATTGCCAAAGCTGTGCTGAGAACGAAGTCAAAAGCAAGCCAGCGAAAAGCAATGAATACCTGTGGATCTCATCTTACTGTAGTGTCTATGTTCTATGGAACTATTATCTACATGTACCTGCAACCAGGTAACAGGGCTTCCAAAGACCAGGGCAAGTTCCTCACCCTCTTTTACACCGTCATCACTCCAAGTCTCAACCCGCTCATTTACACCTTAAGAAATAAGGACATGAAGGATGCCCTGAAGAAACTGATGAGATTTCACCACAAATCTACAAAAATAAAGAGGAATTGCAAGTCATAGATAAAGACTAGAGTGAATAAGGCAATTAAATATGTTTTCTAATTTTCTTTAATTTTTACAAATGCAAGTAATTCCTAGGTCATGGAGATCCATAAATATAATTATTATATACAAACATTTTGTAGATGCAAACAAAATTACAACCATTCTACTTAGCTCCTTTATGTCCCTGATCATTGGTATATCATCAGAGAAAACAGATCATTAGAAATTTTATTTTTGCTTGAAATAAAACACAAATGGGATGTAAACATAAATTTGAATGCATTTAATTTATTCTAAAACCACATAGAAACTGTTTTGGTTATCTAGTTTTGTATTTTCAATGTTAATCCTTGCCTCTTCCAAAGTATAGACCTGAGCAAATGGTTTCATATACATTATGGTGTGTATATTAAATAATATACCCATAATGTTCATTCTATTGGAGCTTGAGAAAAAATATACATATACACAATAATGATTTTGTACACCCAATCTTTTGTAATGCCACCCAAATATTTATTTGTGTTTGATGCAAACAGTGCAGTTTATAAGACAGTAATTGTCATAAGCCCCATTTAAAACAATTCACTCTTTTTTCAATGAAATTTCAAATCGATATCTTGAGTAAAGGGTCTCTGCTATTTAAGTCTATTACTACTCTATCGTAATATAAAGCCACAAATTAAAGGGTTTTAAAGGTAATGACACAGTCTTATCAATTTCTCTTTCATTCGTTAAATGTTTATTCCATGATTGTCTCAACTTAATGGAAAGATAATATGACTAGTTTGAAACCAGTTAGGCTTTTGACATACATCTGTGGAACTGGCGGATTTACGTGAATTTTTAGAAATGTGGTAATGTTTATATGTAGTGGAATTGCATAACAGAATAAATCTTTTTATTTCTATTTATCATAATATAATATTTAGCTTTTATGGGACAATGTGATTACTTTTTAATTAAACTTTTATTTTTGCCATGATCTGATACCTTTCTCTAAAAGTGCCCATTATTTAATAATAGTAGCCAATCTAGATAGATCTAGAAAGACACACTGCTAGAATCTAAAAATATATATTTTCTCTTCCATCATGTCATCTTTAATGATGAGCAGCACACCACTAGCATTTTGAGTTGTCCCTTTCTTTGGTGTACCACTGGTTTTCACAATGTGGATAATATGTTACAGTAAGATCAGGAGAGATGGTAATTATGCCTTTCTTTTGTGAAGGAGGAGAAGGGATCTTTGAAAGTGAAGGCTGGAAAGAGAACCTGTCTAACTCCTCAACCTGGCATTTCCTCAAGAAAATGTTAGCGAAGAAAACAAAGGAACAAGGAGGATCTGGAAGTTATTTCCTTAAAACTAACTTTATAACCCTACAAAAGTCTCTGCATCCCAGAGTGTGCCCCCCCGTTGAAGCCCATTGTCTTAGACTATGGTTCTCTTAACAAGCCATACAAATCTCTATGAAGGTTAGAATTGCATTGTTTTGTAAATATTATTTATAGAACTGATAAGCCTCTAGCCAATGTAATTATAAGTTTCTTGAAAGCATAATTTTGTATAGTTCTTTCTCGATTCACCATCATATAATAGGGTTCCATGACTCTTAGTAGGCATTGAATATTTTTAACGATTTGGATGAATTTTTCAGTGTTCATGCAAATGTTTGTAAACAGAGCAAAAATCATCTTGTTATCATTTTTAACTAAAAAAAACATACACAAATATGAGCTAAGCAGAATATCCCAAGCCTTCAAAAACATGTCCTAGAAAATTTCGGAAATGTCTTACCTTGACCTGCATCATAATTATGCTTAATTACTGTTGTGGAGCACCAGTCTCAACGGGCTTAACAATATCCTGAAACTAAGTCAGCTCTCTTAGATTTTATACCCATCACATTTATCTTTTTCTAAGGTTAGCCCTTGGCCAGGGCAGGAAAATGTTTCTGCCACTCACAAAACACTCAGTAAATAGGTAATTTTCAAAACCACATATGCCTAGTGTTGGAAAAATGCAATATAATACAATCTAGTTTATTGCCTATTTTCCTTTCATATGGACATCTCCAGATTCTTCCACAAGAAGTTCAACTCTGATTGGTACCAATTAACCACAACATGGTAGATGTTGACTAGTTCAGACAAGGAAATTCATAATGATTTATGATTAAAGATAAAAGCAACCCTTCTGAGTCAACCATCATAACTTGAGGAGTGGTGGACTAAGAAAACCATAGTAGAAAATGCACATAATGACTCCCCTCAGTGCAAGTAAATAGCTAATTCTTTCAATATTTCTCTTCTTTAGAAGACTATAATCTAAAAAATACATTATTCAAATTCAGAGAATCACGAATATCTAGAGAAAATGAAATGCCATTTTTACTGTATCTGTTTATATTCATAACAATTATTAATTTTCTCTCATTTCTTAAACAAAAACTTATAAATGGATTCAAGCAGAAGATGCTATGATACTCAATTGTCATATAGTGATGAATTTTGAAGTACAGGAACCTCTAGAGGTCAAATACATATATATGCACTTATTATCCAATTCTAATCCCATTATTTTAATTGATGTGTTTGGGTATCTTTGCAAGTACATACATTTACCTACTTTACAATGAATATTTATATCTTAAATAAATTTACTGACATGTATTATTGAAGTATGTTGCATAAAAATGATATGGCATATCAAATTTTCAAACATGCTGTAAAAATTAAGCTAATTATTAATTGGTAACATTTTTCAAGCAATACCTGGGTATAGATGCTGATAATTTATAAGTCTAAATATGTACCCAACTTACTGAAGTACATTGATTCATTTTATCACTTTTATAGATATCAGTTCATCCAGGTCTCTGGCATTTCTGATATTGGTTTTTGTATTAATACATAAGTTAATTTTTTTTTTGAGATGGAGTCTGTCTCTGTCGCCCAGGCTGGAGTGCAGTGGCACAATCTCAGCTCACTGCAACCTCCACCTCCCGGGTTCATGCCATCCTCCTGCCTCAGCCTCCCGAGTAGCTGGGACTACAGGCGTGTGCCACCACATCCGGCTAACTTTTGTATTTTTAGTAGAGACAGGGTTTCACCATATTGGCCAGGCTGGTCTCGAACTCCTGACCTCAGGTAATCCACCCACCTCGGCCTCCCAAAGTGCTGGGATTACAGGCGTGAGCCACCGTGCCCAACCTGCATAAGTTAAATTTTAAAATTCTTTCTACTTTCTGAAGAAATTCTGACACTCTCCATTGTATTTCTGAAAATTATTTTCTATGGGAGAAGGATTCTATTATTTTTGAGGATTTTTGTTTAAAATACTGCTCCTGATAAATTTTTAACCTCCTCTCACAGTTGAGTCCCTGTGGCCACTGTCCTTACCAATTTCTACTGTACGAAACAGCTTCTTCTCCACTTAAAGACTATTTCTTGTCCTCTTGCCAGTGAACCAAGCCTATTTTCTTTTATTCTCTAAAGTACCACTAACAAGTGGGGAATGCAGTTAGTGGGATTTTCATAAAGAACTGGGAATAATAAAGGAGGATTATACTGCAGGATAAAAAGGAAAACATTGCCTAATGAATATTTGACTTCTTAAAATTCCTTAGCAATCCCTACCACAGAGCTTTGCTCTCTGGATGTCTGCTTTTTTAGGTCCCCCTTGCTCCATGTTTTGGAAGATCTTATTTACTTTCGGTCCCAACTTCTATTCCAATCTGTCTTTGTCTCTGACCTAGGACCTCCAATTCTTTCAACTGTAGTGTCTGTGAAGGAATAATGTCACTATCACTTAGAGAGAAATATTTGTCTGGCTCTATCTTCTATAAACACTAGAATAAGGGGTAAAGATACACTCACCTTGCATTAGAAAATAGAATTTGTTGTTTTAAGTAAAAGAACACCTTTTCTTCTGCTGCTGCTGCTCCATTCCTCAGAACACAGATGCAATTAAAACAATTCCAATCTTCTATTTTTCCCCATTACATCCCTTAACTAAAGAGTATACAATTTTGATCCATGTGATTATAAGGAGCACATATTTGGTATTATTACTAAGAAGCTTTCTGTATTAATAATGCATATTTTTAGCTCACACTTTTACAATTTAATTTATACAAACCTTTCTACAATTCAGTGATTTCTCTTTATATTGATGTCTTGAATAGAACTGACCAAGTTTATGTTTCAATGAATAAAATTTTGAAATTGAAAAATAATACACTTTTTGAAACTATCTAGGTGGAGAAGTAACATGAAAAGGATTTTTTAAAAAGAAGCTACTTCCATGTCCTGAAAACCTGGAGTAATATTTAATGTAGAGTAATTGTGTAGAAAATTTTCTAGTACCAATAAGTACCCATTTATGAATATGTGGGTCCATTCCCAACACTGGAGCAATTCCAGTACCTGTTTTCACTAATTGTACTCCCAAATTCCAAATCACTGTGTAGAAATTAATTCTACTAGGTAATTAACTCCAGGTCAATTTATTCTCTTTAAAATCAGTTGGATGGAAATGTTCCTTGGTAGTTCTTTTTATTTATGTTTTCTTACCAATCTCATTATTCTTCATAGACAAGTTTCTTCAGAGAAACACTTTGTCATGGTAACTGTAGTATACTTTAAAACACTTTGTCAGGCTATTGATATAAGTGCATTTATTCATTCAAATATTACATTCTATGGGCCGGGCACAGAGGCTCACGCCTGTAATCCCAGCTCTTTGGGAGGCCGAGGCGGTGGATCACGAGGTCAGGAGATCGAGACCATCACAGCTAACATGATGAAACCCCGTCTCTACCAAAAATACAAAAAATTAGCTGGGCGTGGTCGCGGGCACCTGTAGTCCCAGCTACTCGGGAGGCTGAGGCAGGAGAATGGCGTGAACCCGGGAGACAGAGCTTGCAGTGAGCCCAGTGAGCCAAGATCATGACACTGCACTCCAGCCTGGGAGACAGCAAGACTCCGTCTCAAAAAAAAAAAAAAAATATATATATATATAACATTTTATGGACATGAGTGGCTCTAATCAGTAAATGTACACTATTAGATGGGGAGGTCAACTAGCATTTAGCCAGAAAGGCTGCCCTCCAAGGCAGCTACCACAGGACCTTCAGTTATCTACCTCTTGGTCAACATTTGATGCCTAGCCAACTCACATAATAATTGAGGTTTAAATCAGTTATCATCCTGAAATTAGTGGTACCAAATATATGAGGGTCATCTAACATATTTTAGAAACATTCCCTATTCTTCTATGAAGGGCATAAGAACCTAGCAAGATGTGTAGCCTAAACTTTAGGGGTAGTGCCCAAGACTTGTTCCCTAAATGGGCCTGTGTCCTACTATGGATAAGTTCCACTTTCTCAATGCTGACATGAAAGTAAAACCCTACCTCTGTTGTCTTATCTTCTTCAAATACACCTTTCTACAAGGTACTTTGGAGTATTTTAAAGGGCAGAGAGCTGAGGATTTATTAAATTTACAGAGAAGATGACATAAACTGTCTTATGCTAATGTCTGGTTAACTAATCTCTATATTCATGGCAGAATTTGATCAGAGTCATTTTCATCATAACTGGGACATAGGATTGTGGTGGTAAATGCTAACCATACGCCCACTTCACCTTTTTCAGCCACTATGATTAACTACCAAAAATGACCCTGTTGCTGAGCATGACCAAATTGGGTTAGGCTAGTTCAAAACACACTCTATTTTTCTCATTAGACACTGTTCATTACTTCTTAATTTGTTGCACCTTGCTTTTAGTCCCTCTGAACTAAAATGCTTAAGAGCAAATATCAACTAGAGTTTCTACTCTGTTGTTTTACATTAGCTGAAAAATACAGGTATATCCCCCAAAAAATAAGAAGAAAGAAAACTATCATTATTTTAAGATAACAGAATCCACTCCATTTTTAACACAAAAAAATTATGTTATTAGAAATCCCTATAGACTCCGTGAAAAAGAAATATACAGAATAAATATTTAAAATCTTCTGCACAGCAAAAGAAACTACCAACAGATTAAACAGACAACCTACAAAATAGGAGAAAATATTTGCAAATTAAGCATCCAACAAAGGTCTAATATCCAGAATCTATAAGAAATTTAAACAAATCAACAAGCAAAAACAACCCCATTTAAAAATGAGCAAAGACATGAACCAACACTTCACAAAAGAAGACATACACATGTCCAACAAGCATATGAAAACATGCTCAGTATCACTAATCGTTAGGGAAAGGCAAATCAAAACCACAATGAAATACCATCTCACACCAGTCAGAATGGACATTATTAAAAAGTCAAAAAATAACAGATGTTAGTGAGGTTGCAGAGAAAATGGAATACTTACACACGGCTGGTGGGAATTTCAATTAGTTTAGCCACAGTGGAAAACAGTTTAGAGATTTCTCAAAGAACTCAGAACTACCATTTGACCTAACAATCCCATTACTGGGTATATACCCAAAGAAATAAAAATTGTTCTACCAAAAAGACACATTCACTCGCATGTTCATCACAGCACTATTCACAGTAGCAAAGACATAGAATCAATCTAGATGCCCATCAGTGGTGGACTGGATAAAGAAAATGTGACATATATACACCACAGAATACTATGCAACCATAAAAAGAATGAAATCATGTCCCTTGCAACAGCATGGATGGCAGCTGGAGGCCATTATCCTAAGTGAATTAATGCAAAAACAGAAAACCAAATACCACATGTTCTCACTTATAAGTATGAGCTAAACATTGAGTACACACAGACACAAAGAGGGGAACAACAGACACCTGGGCCTACCTGAGGGTGGCAGGAGGAAGGAGGGTGAGGATTGAAAAACTACTTATTGGGTACTATGCTCACTATCTGGGTGACAAAATGATTTGAACACCAAACCTCAGCAACACACAATTTACTCAAGTAACAAACCTGCATATGTACCCCTAAACCTAAAATAAAAGTTAAAAAAAAAAATTTAATTTAAAAAATACATATATAGCTCTCCTAACAACAATAAGCAATGAGCAATTAAATAAAATGATATCAATAAAGATGAACTTAACATATGTTGAACATTTTTAAGGTATTATTAATCTTTACCAAGAAAAAGGGAAAAACAAATAAAATGAGACATGCCACATTCTTCAAAAAATAACTTTTAAATATAAATTTAAATGCAGACATTTCAAATAATTGTCTGCATTGTGTTTGGATTGTAACAAATTTATTTCAAGATTTATTTGGTCAAATTACAGCTTAGAAGAGTCAAGCCATTTTCATAAACGAATAATAAGCAAGGATTTGCTCTGGCCAGCACTGAAATACTATCAAATATTACTAAGGGTTTGATTTGGGGTCAAGAGCAGTGGCTCCTGCCTGTAATCCCAACATTTTGGGAGGCCTAGGCAGGAGGATAGCTTGAACTCAGGAGTTGGAGACCAGCCTGGGCAACAGAGTGAGACACCCCTGTCTCCACAAAAAACAAACAAATAGCCGGGCGTGGTGGCCTGTGCCTGTAGTCCCCGCTACTCGGGAGGCTGTAGTGGGAGGATTACGTGAGCCTGGGAGGCCGAGGCTGCAGTGAACAGAGATTGTGCCACTGCATTCCAGTCCGGGTGACAGAGTGAGGCTCTGTCTCAAAAAAGAAAAAGAGTTTGATTTGCATATGATTGAAACAACATTGCCTCAAAACAGACCCTAGTGTGTTTTACATTACAACAGTAAATATGAAAAGAATGACATTACAAATTAGTGTGTGATGAAGGCCTATTTGTTGACCAGCGTGAGAAAACTGATGAAAGATCTAGAAATAAAATTTGTCAGTAAAAACAATACCTAAAAAACATACATTATTATAAATTTTAAATTGATTAAAAAATGTAGAGAGTTCCAGCAGAGATCCCAGGCCTGAAGCAGCGGCGAACCTGTCTTCCCCACCCCACCTCGGTGACCTGGTGGCCGCCGGCACACAGCACCTTTGGATGGCCGCGGGTGTGCCGGGCGGGAAGAAACACGCAGAGGCTGCTGGGGTGCAGGGCCCGCGAAGGCGGAGTTAGGGAGAGGCCTGGCCTCCTCTTTAGGCCACGGCGCCGCGCAGATGCTGTCCTCGGGGGACCTCTCTGTCCCAATTGGGTGAGACCTACCTGGTCCTGATGACAACAGACAACAGCCTTAACGGCCGGAAGGTCAGCGAAGTCCCGGATGAGGACGGGTGGAATGGTAGCGACCATGGGGCAGTTGGCCTTCCTTCTACCAGACGTTGATGTGGGAAAAGAGAAACGGAGTAACAGGACACATTTAGCGATTTGGAGATTCCCATCACGCTTTGGGAGGATGTACCGGCGTTTATAGGAGACCTGCGTGTATAATGTGAGAAAGCTGCTCTCAGCTTCCCCCAAAACTTTTACAAGGAAACATTTGCCACATCTAGCCTTTCCAGATGTATAGAGGTTACCGACCTATGATAGAGTTAGAAAATCACACATGGAATTTTTTAAATTCCATATTACAGAGTAGGTAATCAGTATGTAATTGTATCAGTGGATTACAAAATCTGGAGATTATATTCTGAGAATCTATTTTTGCCAACACAATAAGAGCCATATATTACAAGCCCACAGCTAATATCATAATGATAAAAAGTTGAAAGCTTTCCCTCTAAGATCCAGAACAAGATAAAGATGCCCACGCTCACCACTTCTGTTCAACATAGTACTGAATGTCCTAGCCAGAGCAGTTAGGCAAGAAAAAGAAAAAAAGGCATACAAATTGGAAATGAAGAAGTGAAACTGTCTCTTCTGATGACATGATCCTTTATTTGGAAAACCCTAAGAACTCCAACAACAAAAAAAGCTATTCAAATAAACAAATTCAGTAAAGTTACAGGTTACAAAATCAATATACAAAAATCAGTAGTGTTTCTATGCACTAACAATCATCTGAGAAGAAATTAAGTAAACAATCATAATTAAAAAATAAATTAATTAAAATAACTAGGTGCAAATTTAACCGAGGAGGTGAAAGATTTGTACACTTGAAAACTATAAAACACTGATATTTAAAATTACAAAAGACACAAAAATTGAAAAATACCTCATGTTCATGGATTGGGAAAATTAGTATTTTTAAAATACCTATACTACCCCAAATAAAGATTCAATGCAATCTCTATCCAAGTACCAATGTCATTTTGTAGAGAAATAGAAAAAACGATTCTAAAATTTGTCTGGATCCACAAAAATCCATAGCCAAAGTAACCTTGAATCAAAAAACAAACAAACAAAAAAAAACGGGAGGCATCATAATACCTGGCTTCAAAATCTACTGTGAACCTATAGTCATCAAAACAACAGGATACTGGCATAAAAACAGACACAAAAACCAATGGAACAAAATAGCGTAAAAATCAATCCATACATTTACAATCAATTGATTTTCAACAAAGGTGCCAAGAACACACAATGGGGACAGGGCAGTCTCTTCAATAAACGGTGTTGAAAAACTGAATATCCACATGTTGAAGAACGAAATTACATGCATACCTCAAACCATATACAAAAATCAACTCAAAATGCATTAAAGACTTAAACATAAGACTATTAAACTACTAAAAGAAATCATAGAAATGCTCCATGACATTGATCTGGTCAATGATTTTTTGGATATGACCTCAAAAGCACAGTCAACAAAAGCAAATATAAATAAATGAGATTATATCAAATTAAAGAGCTCCTGTACAGTCAGGGAAACAAATAAAATAATGAAAAGACAACCTATGGAGTGGGAGAAAATATTTGCAAATGATGTATCTAATAAGGGGCTAATATCTAAAATATATAAGAAGCTCAAACAAGAAAACATAATTCTATTTTAAAATGGAGCTGGCTGTGTTGGTTCACATCTCTAATCTCAGAATTTTGGGAGGCCAAGATGGGTGGATCACTTGAGGTCAAGAGTTCGAGACCAGCCTGGCCAACATGGTGAAACCCCGTCTCTACTAAAAATAGAAAAATTAGCTAGGCATGGTGGTACGTGCCTCTAGTCTCAGCTACTCAGGAGGCTGAGGCACAAGAATCACTTGAACCTGGGAGGTGGAAGCTGCAGTGAGCCGAGATTGTGTCACTGCACTCCAGCCTGGGAGACAGAGAGAGACTCCATCTCAAAAATAAAAATAAAAAATAAAATAAAATAATTTAAAAATTTTAAAAATGAAAATAAAAATGGGCAAAAGACCCAAATACACATTTCTCAAAAGAAGACCTACAAATGGCCAACATGTATATGAAAAATGCTCAACATCACTAATCAATGGGGAGATGTAAATTAAATGCACAGTGAGATATCACTTCATACTCTTAGAATGGCTATTGTCATAAAAAGCAAAGATAACAGCTTGGTGAGAATGTAGGGAAAAAAAGGAACCCTTGCACACCGTTAGTGGGAATGTACATTAATACAGCCACTATATAAAACAGTGTGGAGGTTACTCCAAAAATTAAAAATAGAACTACCATATGATCCAGCCATCCCACCACTGGGTATATATCCAAGGAATTGAAATCAGTATGTTAAAGAGATGTCTGCACTCCCATGTTTATGGCAGCATTATTCACAATAGCAAAGATATGGAATCAAACTTTGTGTTCATCAATGAATGAATAAATCAAGAAAATGTGGTGTACTATTCACTCGTAACAAAAAAAGGAAACCCTGTCATTTCCAACAACACGGATGAACCTAGAAGCTATGATGTTAAGTTAAATGAGCCAGTTACAGAAAGGCAAATACTACATGATCTCATTTAAATGAGGATCTGAAAAACTTAAACTCATAGAAGCAGAGAGTGGAATGGTAATTACCAGAAGCTGGGGATGGTGGTAAGTTTCCAGACCATAAATTGAGGGATAAGCTCCAGAGTGTTCATACTATTTTTAATTTGCTGAAAATAGAACGATGATAATAATTCATAAACCTAGAATTATGATTATCCCATAAATTTTTTAAAACTAAATATTTTGTCCTATAGACACAACACCTACATAACTTAATTTATCCAATTTTGATCTTACCAATTGAATAAACCAAATTTCAAGTAAATGTGTTCATTTTTATATAGTTTACATCATATATTCATTTTTCAATGTAAATTTAATATAATATATAATTAATCTCCAAATTTTTAAATTTAAAAACTTAAAAAGAAAAAGAAAAGATGAAACCCAACGTCTTTTTTTTTTTTTTTTTTTTTTTTTTTGAGACAAGAGTTTCGCTCGTTTCACAGGCCGGAGTGCAATGGCGCAATCTCGGCTGACCGCAACCTTCGTCTCCCAGGTTCAAGTGATTCTCCTGCCTCAGCCTCCTGAGTAGCTGGGATTACAGGCATGCACCACCATGCCCGGCTAATTTTTTGTTTTTAGTAGAGACGGGGTTTCTCCACATTGGTCAGGCTGGTCTTGAACTCCTGACCTCAGGTGATCCACCCGCTTTGGCCTCCCAAAGTGCTGGGATTACAGGCATGAACCACTGTGCCTGGCCGAAACCTAATGTGTTAAGAGAACTTTTCATGAAATTATTATTTGGATATGCCTCTGACCACAGTCATAGCTTTACTTAATCACCTCTGTGGGGCATCAGTCCTCAAGGTCTAAACCATATCAACATAGGTAGCCTTTAGAGCTGTAAATAAATACTTCCCTGCTACATGTTAATGATTCTTGGAATATACATTGACCAACACAGTGTTCTCCTTGTTTAATTAGGCAAAAATCTAGCTGTAAATATGAATAACAAGAGTATACATTAAAAAGACATCAAATAGCCAACCGAAAATATATTTAACCAAACCTAATTAAGGATTTTCACCAGTCCCACATTTAGTTTACTTCCAATATCCACATTAAATAGAGACTTCTATTAAATCTTATTTCAGCTGTTGCATTTAAGTGTGAATGGCACTGTAGTGTCAGTATGACCAGTGGTTAATCCAATTCTTCAGGGCATTAGTAACTCATCCAACAAGAATTTTTTTCTAATTTATTAATTAAATGAAGAAACGTCATAATGGGAACATGGGTATGTTTGGACTACATGAGAACATGACAGCTCTGAATTCTTCCTTCATGAAAATATATTCTAATCTTTTCAGCTTCTGGTAAGTATTCTCTGCTATCTCTAACAGAGGATGACTCCAGGTAGAAAACAGATCCTAGATAGCGTAAGACTCAGTCTAACATGAAAGCAAAAATGTGAAAGGTATGTGAGATATAAATAATACTAACATTTTGAGGATTAAATATAAATTTAATCCTCAGGAGTGAGGATTAAACTTCAACAAGAGCAGTTAGTGGATTTTGAAGTTACTGAATGCTCTCTATGCACCAAGCATCATGCTAAATATTTAGCATAGCATGTAATCCTCCTCATAGCCATCCTACAAAGCAGGTGCTATTAGAATAGCTATTTTACAGATGAGGAATCAGAGGCTAAAGAAGTTAATTAGCCTGCTCAAGTCCACAGAGTAAGGAAATGGCTGAGATCAATTGTAACAAAAATCACAGGCGGTCTGAACCAGTCTAGGGTCTTACCTATTTTTATTTCGTCCTTTCATCTTGAATTTTGTATGACTACAGCAATATACCTCATGCTTTATAATAAAAGATCCATATATTTTTACTTTTTATAAAATTTTAGACAGTTTTGAAATTTTGTGCTTCTAATTTTCTCTCAATATCATAAATTATGTTGAAATATGTTTGGTTCATTTGTCTCAGATTTCACTGGAGAAAGCAAAATGTTAAGTTATGCGCGATTATTGGGCTCTGAAGTCCATACTATGAAAAATGAAAAACTGAGTTTCGATTAAAATGTAGCATGCCTCTTTTTTGCCATCTATTTCTTCAGCTGGAGTGTTGTAAGTCTCATTTCAAATAACACATTCACTTTTAAATTGAAATTAAAATATCTGGTTTGAGATCCAAAGCTTAAATCAATATGAAAATGTTAAAAAGTATTAAATGAAAAGTCCTGTATTTGAGTTCACAACATTAAACTACATAAATTGTCATGCCTGACTTGGCAGCATTTCTAATAAGAATGCCTAGGGCTTTACGTGATCCAAAGTTTAAAGAGAGCCAGTAATGTCTTATACCTGCTAAAAATAACCAACGTATATTTTAGAAAATTATGCAGATCATAGACATTCACTATTCTCTTCAGTAGTGTTGCATAAGTGGAGTATCGTGCTTACTTTTATACTCACTAATTTGCAGCACTTGACAAATCATGGTGTGTCCAGGGAGAGCAACAAGAAAAAGCATGGTAATAAAAGAGCATGTAGTGGTAGGAACAGCTAACAATGTGCTTTGTCTGGGAAGAGAAATCTAAGCATATATTTGGTAACAGTTTCTAATATTAAAAGAGAGTTAAAAGGTATATAAAAAATTTTTAGTAAGCCAAACTATACAATATTGTCTAGAGGTGCACATTTGGGTAATTAACCTACTAACATGCAAAGAGGGGATTACTATAAATAGCAGCATAGTGGATACTTCAGGGGATAGGGAAGAGTTATCATTGGTAAAAGGCACAAAGAAAAGCTCCTAGGGTAATCATCAATGTTTTATTTATTGATTTAGGTGATAGTTACAAGAATATACACTGAAACTCACCAAGCTTTACTTTTTATTTGTTGTATCCATGCACTGTTCATATAATAATACTGGGGTTTTTATGAGGCCATGTTAAATTGACTTACTCTGTGTTATTTTCAGAATAAAGAAAATCAGCCAGGGCTGGGCAAGGAATCATCTTTGAGTTCAATATAAGCAGCATTGACTAAAGGAGAGAGGCTGCTTCAAGTGTAATTGACTTCCCTGTCACTGAAGTTATGCCAGTAGCAGCTGTGTAGCGATTCTGTTGAAGGATCTCCTATGCAGAGCAGAAGGCTAGATTCATGACTTCTGAGGTTTTTTTCCACTTTGAAATTCATGACCTTTTAATTCCCAACACAAACCCAACAGCAGTCAAAAGAATTTGAGTGAATTTTTTAATCAAAGCATTTGGAGACCTCAAGTCATCTCCTGCTCCTGAAGCTTTTCAGTTCAATGTGCATATTGTGATTCTGCATATTTTTGTGTATATAAAAATGTTTCTAAATTTTAAAGTTACACAAATTTTTTAAAAAACATTCCAGTTTAGTTCTAGGTCATTGCGGTAAAATCACTAGTGTGAAAAATTAATGGACTAAGGGGTAGACAGAATAACAATGACAGGTGAATATAGGTTATCATTTTTAGAATTAAAGATGAACCAAGCTCAGTTCCAAGTGCTTTTATAAATATTAACCCTCACAACATCCCTTTGAGGAAGGAAATTTTATTATATTTTCTTCATGTATAAAGAACCTCCTACACAAACAAGTTAAATAATTGCCCAAGGATACAGCTTCCAAGTGGTGAAGCTGGAATTTGATGCCAGGGACTTTGAGTTCAGAATCTGTGCAATGAAGCACTATCATTCCTTAGTTGACAACCTATTGCGAAAAATAAAAAAACTGGACACTTATTAATTAGATTTCCATTTTTGTGCTGTGAAAAACTACACCTCTATCTCATACTACTTGATAACATTTCCTTCTTTATGATTATAACATTATTCTGTTCTAACTGAAACACTTATAACAATGACATATATAAATGATCTATCTTCCCCTTGTTTTACTATATACCAGAAACAAATGAGGTTTCTATTCCATGGCCTCAAGGACACTATAAATGTAAAGTATGGTAGGTCTGAATTTCGTGGTCAGAAATTATCAGCAGAAAAAATGTTTAAACTAATTCAGCCATTAGCTCGACACCAGGGCTCAGGCCGAAGCAGGAGGATTGCTTGAGCCAAGGAGTTCCAAACCAGCCTGAACAACATGGTGAGACCTCATCACTACAAAAACATTTAAAAATTACCTGGACACAGTGGCATGCATCTGTGGTCCCAGCTACTTAGGAGGCTCAGTTGAGAGGATCACTTGAGCACCGGAGGTCCAGGCTGCAATGAGCTGTCACTGTGTCACCGCACTCCAGCCTAGGCAACAGAGCAAGATTTTTGTTTTGTTTGGTTTGGTTTTTTTGAGACAAGAGTCTCGTTCTGTCGCCCCGGCTGGAGTGCAGCGGTGCGATCTCGGCTCACTGTGGCCTCCGCCCCCAGGTTCAAGCAATTGTCCTGCCTTAGCCTCCCAAGTAGTTGGGACTACAGGCACGCACCACACCGCCCAGCTAATTTTTGTATTTTTAGTAGAAAATACAAAATTTTTCCCCACGTAGGCCATGCTGGTCTGGACTCCTGACATCAAGTGATCCGCCCACCTCAACCTCCCATAGTGCTGGGATTACAGGCATGAGCCACTGCATCCGGCCAACAGAGCAAGAATCTATCTTTAAAAAAAACAAACAACAACAACAAAAAAAAACTAACTCAGTCAGTCATTAAATATTTTGTCTACTTAGTGATATGATACAATAATCAGAAATGGTGAGATTGATGACATTTTTATCTGTATCTGTATTCTTTTAGAGCCCAATGGGGTGATGGTTTTACCTAAAGGATTTCAAAGCAATCAGAACATCCACTCATGTTGGATTGGTAAATTCCATAGATTAAAACAACTCTGGCTATTTAATGAACTGCTTTTTGTTTGAATTACCTGCCCAGCGCCCAGCTAATTCTGCTGAATGGCTGGTAAGTAGGATTGGACACAGATCGTTGTACGTGGTGGCCAAATAGTTCTGGAATTACCTCAATATTTAACTGCAACAAATCAGTAAGGCTGTTTAGATGGTGTAATATTAGTCATTAAAGCTGTTTAAAAAACATATAGGCCTTTATACATGTAAGTAAATATTAATAAGAAAGATAATTATTTCCTGGCAACAAAAAACACACTCACAAAAAAAGGCAGTGTAGTAGGGAACACCAAAATTGATAGAATAACAACAGTGCCTGCAATGTTGAGGGGTAAAAAAAATATAAGGAGGAGGAGTAAGTTGGTGGTGAGGATAATTATAATTATAATGGCTGAAATGTAGATATTTGCAAGTAAATATTGAAAGTGATTCTGCTATCAAATGGTGGAGTTTATTCCAAAAAAAGATGTCATTTAACTTTTTACCTCAAGCTTAACTCCTTCAATAATGCAAGGATTTATCATGATCAAGTGATGCTTATGTCATAGCTTCAAAGAGGAACAACTCCTCAATACATATGCCTCTCTTAAAATCACATAATTGACTTCATGATTTTATTACTTAATTGAAATACATAGAACAATGAATGACATAGCAAATTAAGTTTTTTCAATGATTTACAATTCAGCCTGATTGGATTTAGCATATTATTAATTTTGGATTAAATATGAACAAGTTGTGAGCACTGGGCCATAGGGAAATGTTAAAAGAGATGTTCCAAATGAGAGAGAGCATGCAAATAAGAGAGTTTTGGATACCCTTGAGAAACTTCAGAGATTTTCAGTTCTACCTAAACCTGACACTATTTTTGGTTACCATGATATTGCCTGCTAGCTTTTCTTAAGGAACAATGGAAACAAGCAGTGTAAGTTCTGGAACAGATTTCATCCTTCTGGGGTTTTCTGATCGACCCCAATTAGAGCACATCATCTCAGTGGTTGTCTTCATCATCTATATTGTGACTCTGGTAGGAAATACAACCATCATTCTTGTATCTTATCTAGACACCCAGCTCCATACCTTCATGTATTTTTTCTTATCCAATTTGTCTTTCTTGGACCTCTGTTATACAACTAGCATTATCCCCCAGATGCTGGCAAATCAATGGGGCCCAAAAAAATCTATTACTTATGGAGGGTGTGTACTCCAATTCTTTTTTGTCCTTGACTTGGGAGCCACAGAATGTCTTCTGTTGGCTGTGATGGCCTATGATCGTTATGCTGCTGTCTGTCAACCTCTTCACTACACCTTAAAATGCACCCTCAGCTTTGCCACTGCCTGGTTGAGTGGTCTTGCCAGTGCCTTAATTGTTTGCTCCTTGACTTTGAAGTTGCCAAGATGTGGGCACCGGGAAGTGGATAATTTTTTCTGTGAGATGCCAGCATTGATCAAGATGGCTTGTGTCTATTCAAAAGTAATTGAGATTGTTGTCTTTGCTTTCGGAGTGGTATTTCTTTTCGTACCTCTATCACTAATTCTTATCTCATATGGAGTTATCACTCAAGCTGTAATGAGGATCAAGTCAGCAACAAGGTTGCAAAAGATCCTTAATACATGTGGCTCCCACCTCACAGTAGTAATTCTGTTTTATGGAACAATCATTTATATATACATGAAGCCACAGAATACCATATCCCAAGATGAAGGGAAGTTCTTCACTCTTTTACACAATCATCACACCCAGCCTTAACCTTCCCATCTACACTTTAAGAAACAAAGATGTAAAGAGTGCACTGAAGAGAATACTGTGGATGAAAAAATCTTCAGCAGAATCATGAATTAGATGGAAAAAAGTAGAATGTAGAGCACTAAAGAAATATTGGCATTTATCAAGAGAAGTGAAATCAATTCATTTATCCAAAGCACATTCACGCTCAAAGCTTGGTGCTCTTAAATGACAAAAGAAAATTTAGCAAGCTTATGTTTTTACTTTGCTTTACTTTGTTTTACTGGTAAATACATTCAAAATCTGGAAATCCCTGTGCTAGAGAATAAACGACTCCACTTCTCTGCAAATCAGCCATTTCAGAGATTGAAAATCCTCTCTGCAAGTGAAAGATTCCCCATATCTATAGTGCCCTTGCTATGTCATTTCAAAGACAGAGTAAGCCACAGCTTACATGAAGTAATTGAGTAGGAAGATGGGAGTAATAGGGCTTATGATGTCTCTACAATCCTTAAACCCTGTGGCTTCTAAATTTCCACAGCAAGAACATCATACCTTTATTTCAAGGTTTTGATTCCTCTTTTACTTTTATTTTAGGTTTGGGGGTACATGTGAAGGTTACATAAACACGTGTCATGGGGGGTTATTATACATCTTATTGCATCACCCAGGTGTTAAGCCCAGTACCTAATAGTTATCTTTTCTTTGCAGATGACTCTAAAATTGTCAGTTGTACATACCTTGGTAAACATAAAAAAATATGAGAGAGGACAGTGAAATCAGGATAAGGAAAGCATGAAGACACTGTAAACTTCATGGTGTCATAAGGACTATGGAAGAAAGACAAAAGTATAGAATGATAAAATTGTGGCCACTAAAAAAGAGTATCAATTTTCCTTTGTTAAAAATGAGTGATCCTAAATCTTGCTAGGCATTTATCACTTAAAAACCTTCTATTCAACCTTCATACCCTGCTGAAATCTTGTCTCAACTGAAAAGTATTTATGAATCTCATCAGTCTATGGTCTATAGTCCTTGAAAACCCTGACCATATAAGTATAGGGCATTATCCCATTTTTATTTAGTTGTTTGTATGTGTGTTTGAAGAAGATGCATTGGTAAGCTTTTCAACAATATAGACCTTCTTATTCACGTGATTTTGCTGTGTCGAATCAGTTTCTGACATGAATTACATAGCCAATAAATGTCTGTAGAATGAATATGTCAATGTTTTTTATTAAATCTCCATGAAAATGTTACCAAATCTGCAGAATATCACAAATTCTCATTGGGTGATGAATATTAGAGCAATATCTTCAGTTTGTGTTAACACTGAAGATATATAAATCATCTAACACCTAAAATGTAATATATTTAAACATCTATGAGTTAGCAAAGGAAAAGATACAGTTTTTCTTTCACATACATATTATAGAATACATACATAATATTATAGAATCTTTACAACATCCCCTAGAGGTATATATAAGTACATAATGGAAACTAGAAAATAAGAGAAATAAAAGAAATTGCTCATTATCTTATCCCAGAAATGACTAAATTTTTAAATTAATTTTCTTTTAAAGTACTGTCATCTATTAAAATTTGGTTTAATAGTTTGTCTTATTTCTCTCAATATATGCCTTCATATCAGGGATGATATCATCCCCACAGGGGCAAAATTGATTCAAGGGGAGGTAGCAAAAATCTTTGGTATTACAATGGTTGGTGGTCCTCCAAAGAGCCTCTGTACATAAGCAGTTACACAATATAACTGTGGCACTAAAATTTTGTTAGAAATGAAATAACTATAATGAAAAAGTTTGAGAAAACACTTAATTTGGTGCTTTTTCCTATTTGAAAAGATGATTAAAAGAAAGACTCCCTTAGGCCAAAATGATTGACAAGGATATGCACATCCAATACACAGAATTAGTAAACTTCTAGATTGGCAATTGAAAACTGCATTCAGTAATGGTCTTCAGTTTCAGGTTAAAATGCTGGAAATTCTCTGTTATATTGGGGATTTTTTTTTTAAGTTTGATGAAAAAATCATGCCCCAAAGAGTTTTTTTAATGATAAAATTCTTGAGTTTATAGGATAGTATATAAAAAAAGAAACAACTTGCTGAAAAGTTGAAACTGAAATTGTGCCCCAAAGAATAGGAAACCAATAACTAACAGAAATCTTGAGTTTGCCAGATAGCAGATAAGAAAATAAATAACTTGCTGAAACGCTGAAATTCCCTCCATTTGTGAGATAACAAGAGTGTCCAAAATTAGTTGGAACCAACATGACCAAATGGAGTTTGCACAGAACAAGCTTGTTAATGTCACAGCCCGATTTCCACTGCATGTTTCATACTAACTCCCTTTGAATTTGCATGTGGGACCCATGAAGAGGAATGGAGATAACTGTGCATTTGAGGACTTTCTAGACCTCCCTTTTCCTTCCACCAACCACCTGCTAATCCCAGAATCCACCCGCAAACCTTTTCTAATAAAATTACTATCTTAAAGCCAGCACAGGGAGATACAGTTGAGCTAGATTCCTGTCTCCTTATTGGTCAACCTATAATAAAGAGCTTTTCTTTTCTTAGAAATCCAGTGTCATAGTATTAGCTTCTAGCACATCCAGCAGTGAGCCCCTTTTGCCTGGTAACAATAACATAATATAGTATCAAGAATTTGTGACTGGGCATGGTGGCTCACGCCTGTAATCCCAACACTTTGGGAGCCTGAGGTGGGCAGATCACAAGGTCAGGAGTTCAAGACCAGCCTGGCCAATATGGTGAAACCCCATCTCTACTAAAAATAGAAAAAGTAAGCTGGGCGTGGTGGTGGGCACCTGTAGTCCCAGCTACTCCGGAGGCTGAGGCAGGAGAATGGCTTGAACCCAGGAGGTAGAGGTTGCAGTGAGCCGAGATTGCACCACTACACTCCAGCCTGGGCAACAGAGCAAGACTCCATCTCAAAAAAAAAAAAAAAGAATTTGAGGAAACAATATCTCATTTATTTCTGGTTGTATTAGTTATCTGCTGCTACATGAACTTTTTTTTAAAGAAACAAACAGAACTTCTAGACATGATCAGTATAGGCTGAAAATCCCTTATCCATAATTCTGAATCTAAAATGGTCAGAAATGCAAAGGCATAAGAACGATACATTGGACTTTGGGGACTCGGGGAAAAGGGTGGGGGCTGGTGAGGGATAAAACACTACACACTGTGTACAGTGTACACTGCTCAAATGATGGGTGCACCAAAATCTCAGAAATCGCCACTAAAGAACTTATTCATGTAAGGAAACACCACCTGTCCCTCCAAAACCCTATTGAAATAAAAAAATTAAAATAAACAAAAATAAAATGGTCAGAAAACTAAAAGCTTTCCTTTTTTTCTTTGAGACAGGGTCTCACTATGTTACCCAAGCTGGTCTCAAACTCCTGGCCTCAAGCAGTTCTCTCAAGTAGCTGGTATTACTGGTGAGAGCTACCACACCCAGGTAGAAAACTAAAAGTTTTCATAACTCTGTTGGCAACAAAACCTGACCTGAACTGAGGTAGGACTATTTCTATCTATTCTTTACTTTCAGTTTTATTAAACAAGAGAGACTGTATGTTAAAAGAATAGAGTTCCTTTTAAGAAAAAATAATATCAGCTATTTGTCATTTGTCAGAAATGGCAGATATTTTTTAAAGAGGACACTCACTGTTATCACTAATTTATAAAACCATAGTTTCTTTCGAGTTGAAGATTCAAGAGCAATTAGAACATGTCTGTTTTAAAATATGGTAGTCACTAGGTGTAGCATCAAAAGAAAAACTATCAAAGAATAATAAAACTTTAAATTATTCTTTTTAACTTAAATGGATGTGTATTTTAAACTATTTTTATCTAAGATATTAAGTTAACATTTAAAGTTGGCCACATGAAAAGATAGGTCACATTTCATGTTCTTGTGAGTCAACTGAAATACTGAAGGAAAAAAAAAGTTTGTTTCCTTGCTAGTCATTGTACCTTGCTGGCTAGAAATGTTCCATGGAATGTGTGAGAGTTTGGTTCCAAAATGGCTGCATATAAGGAAGCTGGCTTTATTTTTCCTCCACAGAAAACCTACAACAAATACACGGTGCTGAGATTATCACCAGCAATATCCCAGAACTCAAATATGAAGATGGAACAGTGCCCGTGGCAACAAAGAAGTAAAAAACTTCAAGCAGACGCTGTAAGAATCAGACTTCCAAATCCGTGACATCCCTCTCCCAAATCTGCCTAGCACCAAGCATGTGGAAAACTTCCCCCACCTCACCGCCAGTTTCTACACTGGAAAAAGTGAGATTGAAGTGGATAACCAGTTTCCCCACCATCTTGGATTCCCTGGCAAGAGATCTGTCCCTAAGTACTTAAAGGGAGAAATATTCCCAAAGACAACCAGAGAAAAAGTGGGGAGGTGGGACTTCCTTCCCCAACCCTAGAAACACTCTTCTTTAACTCAGCCAAAGGAGACGCCAAATCAGCGAAGCTGGTCAGCAGCGACACACCATAGGAGGTATGTTCCACAGGTTCCCTGAGCACGAAATTCTAGCCAGACTTCCCACCCTATTGGGATATCCCCCGTAAGACCTTCTACATTTGGGTCCGGCAGTGCTCCAGTCATTTACTAGGGCCAAGGAAAACCTGGACTGCAGACTCCATGTGATGTCAGAAAGAAGGCAAGACCAAGAGGGCGAAAAAAAAGTAGATGCTGTCATGCTTTCTGTACAGCCTGCAGAACCATGAGCTAAGTAAACCTCTTTTCTTTATAAATTACTCAGTCTCATGTGTTTCTGTATAGCAGTGTGAGAACAGACTAATATACATGACTTCCCCAAACAGACAAAGCAAGGAACCAATGACTTACCCTAGGCAAGACAGTGGTATGTGAGCTCTCTCACCAAGAATTCAAAATAGCAGTTTTAAAGAAACTCAGTGAACTCAAGGATAACACACAAAAGCAATTCAAAAATTTATCAGAGAAATTTAACAAAGAGATTAAAATAATTTTTTAAAATCAAACAAAAATCTTGGAACTGAGAAATATACTTGTCAAACTGAAAAATTTATTAGAGACTCTCGACAGCAGAATGGATCAGACAGTGGAAGGAATTAGTAAACTCAGACAGGCTATTTGAAAATACAGTTAGAGGAGAAAAAAGGGAAACGAATACAAAGGAATGAAGATCACCTAAATAATATAGAAAAGTACCTCAAAAGGACAAATCTAAGAATGATTGGTGCTCAAGAGGGAATTCAGAAAGAGCAAAAATTAGAAAGCTTATCCAAAGAAATAACTCAAAACTTTCCAAACTTAAGAAATATATAAGTATCTAGGTACAAGATTAGAGAACATGAAACAGATTCAACCCAAATAAGACCACCCCAAGACATACAATAATCAAATTCTCAAAGGTCAAGGACAAAGAGGATTACAAAAGTTGGCTGGGCACCATGGCTCATGCCTATAATCCCAGCACTTTGGGAGGCCAAGGCAGGTGGATCACCTGAGGTCAGGAGTTCGAGATCAGCCTGGCCAACATGGTGAAACCCTGTCTCCACTAAAAATACAGTAATTAGTGGGGCATGGTAGTGGGTGCCTGTAATCCTAGCTACTCAGGAGGCTGAGGCAGGAGAATCGCTTGAACCCGGGAGGCAGAGGTTGCAGTGAGCCGAGATAGCACCATTGCACTCCAGCCTGGGTGACAAGAGTAAAACTCAGTCTCAAAAAAAATAAAATAAAATAAAAAATAAAAGCAGCAAGAGAAAAGAAGTAAATAACATACAAAGAGCTCCAATTATTCTGGCAACAGACTCCTCAATGGAAACTATACAGGCCAGGTAGATGTGGGATGGCATTTTCAAAGTGCTAAAAGAAATAAAACCGCCATCCAAGATTAATGTACCAGAAAAGCTATTCTTCAAACATGAAGAAGACATAAAATCTTTCCTTGACAAACAAAAGCTGAGAATTCACTACCACCAGGCCTATCTTAAAATAAATGGCAAATGAAGTCCTTCAATCTAAGAGAAAAAGATGCTAACATGCATAAAGAAAATATTTGAGGAAAAAAACCACTGGTAACATTAAGTACAAGACATACCCAGGATACTCTAATACTCTAATTGTGGTGTGCAATCCATTTATAACTGTAGTATGAAATCTAAAAGACAAACCTATCAAAAACAATAATTGCTACAGTGACCTGCTAAGAGATAGACAATATAAAAATATGTAAACCGAGACAACAAAAAGTCAAGATGTAGGGGTATAGAGTTAAAGGGCAGGGTTTTGTGGGGGTTATTTAAGTTTTTTTGTTTGTTTCTAGTCTTTTCTTTGTGATCAAAGTTAAGTTGTCATCTTTGTAAAATATCAGCTGCGCGCCATGGCTCATGCCTGTAATCCCAGCACTTTGGGAGGCCAAGGCTAGCTAATCACTTGAGCTCAGGAGTTCAAAACCACTCTGGGCAACATGGCAAAACCTCATCTCTACAAAAAATACAAAACTTAGCTGGCTATGGTGGCATGTGTCTATGGTATCAGCTACTCAGGAGACTGAGGTAGGAGGATTGCCTGAGTTCAATAAGGTAGAGGCTGCAGTAAGCCAAGATCTCACCACTGCACTCCAGCCTGGGTGACAGAGACCCTGTATCAGAATAATAAGTAATAATAAAACAAAGTAGCTATAAGATATGTTTTGTAAGCCTCATGGTAACCCCAATGCAAAAATCTGTAATTAATACACTAAAAATAGAAGGCAGTGAATTAAAGCATTCTACCAGAGAAAATAACTTAACCACAAAGAAATACAGTAGCAAAAGAATAAAGGAAGAAAGACGTTACAAAACAACCAGAAAACAAGCAACAAAATGGCAGTCATAAGTCCTTACTTATCAATAATAACACTGAATATAAATGGACCAAATTCTCCAATTAAAAGATGTATAGAAGTTAAATGGGTAAAGAGACGAGACCCAACTATGTGGTGCTACAAGAACCCACCTTGCCTATAGGGACATACATAAGTTGAAAGTGAATTTATGGAAAAAGATATTCCATGCAAGTGGAAATCAAAGAGAACAGGATTAGGTATACTTATATCAGATAAAACAGACTACAAGTCAAGGAATGTAAAAAGTGACAAAAGGTCACTATATAATGATGAAGGGGTCAATTCATCAAGAGGATATTAAAAATTATAAATATCTGTGCACCCAACACCAGAGCATCCAAATATGTAAAACAAACATTAATAAATCTCAAGGGAGAGATAGGCTCCAATATAATAATAGTAGGGACTTCAACACCTCACTTTCAGTAACAGATTATCCAGGGAGAAAATCAATAAAGAAACATTGGAATTAAGCTACACACTAGACCAAGTAGGCCTGACATTTATAGAACATTTCACCCAGCTGCTACAGAGTACACATTCTTTTCACTTGCACATGGCACATTCTCCAGAACAGACCATATCTTAAGTCACAAAAGAAGTCTCAGCAAATTCAAAAAAGTAAAAATTATATCAAGTATCTTTTCTGATCACAATGGAATAAAACCAGAAATCAACAAGAGGAACCTTGGAAACTATACAAACACATGGAAATCAACATGCTCCTACAACCAATGGGTCAATGAATAAGCTAAGAAAATTTTAAAAATTTCATGAAACTAGTGAAAATAGATATACAACATACCGAAGCCTACAGAATACAGCATAACAATAACTTTATAGCAATAAACACCTACATCAAAAAAGGGAAAAGACTTCAAATAATCAACCTAAAAATGGATCTCAAGGAACTCAAAAAAGCAAGGATGAACCAAATCCAAAATTAGTAGAAAGAAATAAATATCAGAACAGACATAAATGAAATTGAAACTAAAACATAAATACATTTGATCAATGAAATGAAAAGTTGATTTTTTGAAGATAGACAAAATTAACAAACCTTTCCCTAGACTAAAAAAGAGAAACCCAAATAAATCAATCAGAAAGAAAAAAAAAGAGATATAACAGACCACAAAAATACAAAGAATCAGAGAATATGAACAACTATACACCAACAAATTGGAAAACATAGAAAAAATGGATAAATTATTAAACATATACAACGTACTAAGATTGAACCATGAATAGAAACCCTAACAAACCAATAATGAGTAATGAAATTGAAGCCTTAATAAAGTCTCTCATCAAAGAAAAGCCCAGGACATTATGGCCTCACTGCTGAATTCTAGCAAATATTTAGAGAACTGATACCAATTCTACTCAAACTCTTTTAAAAAAAATTGAAGAGGAGGGTATTCCTCTAAACTCATTCTACAAGGCCAGCATTGCCCTGATGTGAAAACCAGACAAGGATACAGCAAAATCTGTGTCAGAAATCAAATCAAAAACAAAACTACAGGCCAAAATCCCTGATGAACATAGATACAAAAATTCTCAAAATAACTAGCAACCCCAATTCAACAACCAAGAAGATCGCTCATGATGAGTGTGATTCATGAATACTGCATGTTCTCACTCCTATGTGGGAGCTAAAACAGAAGATCTCATGAAGCTAGGGAGTACAATGGTGGTTATCAGGGCCTGGAAAGAGGAGGGAAGACGTGGGATAAAGAGAGGTTGGTTAAACGGTATAAGTATACAATTAGGTAGAAGAAAGACAACCAGAGTTCAATAGATCAGTAGGGTGACTATAATCTATTAGACACTTCTGGCTGGGCGCGGTGGCTCACGCCTGTAATCCCAGCACTTTGGGAGGCAGAGGTGGCCGATCACGAGGTCAGGAGTTCAAGACCAGCCTGACCAACATGGTGAAACCCCGCCTCTACTAAAAATATAAAAATTGGCCCGGTGTGATGGCGTATGCCTGTAATCCCAGCTACTTGGGAGGCTGAGGCAGGAGAATCGCTTGAACCCAGGAGGCAGCGGTTGCAGTGAGTCGAGATCACGCCATTGCACTCCAGCCTGGGTGACAGTGCTAGACTCTGTCTCAAAATAATGTTAGACATTTCAAAATATCTAAAAGATTGCTTGATATATATTTAGATATAACTAGAAAAAAATTTGAACGTTCCAAGCAAAAAGGACATTTAAGTTTATACATATATATACACACACACACAAATTATCCTTATCTTTGACCTTTATACGTTATGTATCAAAATATTACATGTACCCTCAAAATACATACATTAAAAAAATGAGAAATAGAAAAATCAAAAAAAAAAGTTCCATGAATTCTGAACACAAATGTGGCCCCCCATTGCTTGTTATTTGTCTGTTCATCATCCCCCACTTGCAGTATTAAAATGTCAGTGTTTCCATTTAGGGATCCCCTTCTGCCTGAATAATCCCCAAATCTGATTCAAAAAATTAGTTCTTACCAGTTTGCACACTCAAGAAAGCACCTGAGCCCAAGTCCACTACGGCCATTTTGTCACTGCCACAAGGTGGCGCTATTGAAAAATGGTCCACATTACTAGCACTCACCGTCCCCATTGTAATGAGAACAAACTTCGGATCTCTGCACAAGCCACAGTGGTCCTTCTAAGGAGGTAGACAGACCTCTCACCCTGCACCCACTTCTTCATGGCAGTTGCATCTCAGTGAGCCTTGAGTTCGTTCATGAGTGGCTGATCTTTGTTTTCACGTCTTAAGTCTGAAAGCACCCATCTCCATCAGAGAGCCTGCCGCTCAGTAACTCCGGCCGAATTTGTTCGGGTGTGAGGTTTAAGGCCCTAATCGCTGTTCTCTCTTCCTCTTTGGGCACCCCCATCTCCGAAGCGTCAGTTTTTCTTTCACCTATCCGCAACATAAAGTGTTACTAATGACACTCCTCGCCCAGAAGACGGCGCTCCGGGCCTGCACACGCTGGTGCCTCCGGCGAGCCTGGACCCCAGGGCCACTTAGAGCCTTGGCGTTCGTTTTAGCTCTTAACGGCGACCAAGACGTCTTCCTCCTCTGCGACAGTGTGGGGAAGGGAGAACGAGAATAACCCACGTTTGGCCAGGAAAAGCTCCCCCTCTATGTAACTTGTAAGGAACCTCCCAGCAAGCAAGTGGCGTGTGCCCGGGTCTCCGTTCCCCGAGACGCGGGATCCCGGGCGGGAGGGCTAGTCTATCCCATTTGCCTCCACTCCTCTCGGAATACGTTGGAGTCTTCCTTTCTGGTGTCTCCGACTTCGCAGTAACTTAGAGGTGTCTCTGATGAGAATGCAGCCCTGGGTGTGGCTCTGACCACCTCAAGCACCATCCCGACCCTTCCTTGTACGTCTTCCCGCAACCTCCTGCGGAAAAGCAATGTGTCAGAAATTTGTGAGTTCTTGGCATGATTCTAGAATGAAGCTGCAGACCCTCAGGGTGTTAGTTCTAAAAAACGTGTCTGGAGTTTGTTCCTTCTGATAGTCAGACGTGTTTGGAGTTTGTTCCTTTTGGTGGGTTCGTCGACTAGCTAGCTTCAGAAGTGAAACCGCAGACCTCTACAATGAGTGTTACAGCTCTTAAGGCGGCATATCTGGAACTGTTTGTTTTTCCAGGTGGGTTCGTGGCCTCGCTGACCTCAAGAGTGAAACTACAGGCCCTCACAGTGTTACACCTCACAAAACAAAATGCAGATCCAAGCAGCTAATAGTAAAAAATAAAACCACCACAATGTGAAACAGGACAAAACAAATTACAATGGCCAACTCCGGTAACCTGCTTTTATTCCCTTATCTGGCCCCACCCACATCCTGCTGATTGGTCCATTTTACAGAGAGCCGATTGGTCCGTTTTGACAGGGTGCTGATTGGTGTGTTTACAATCCCTGAGCTAGACACAAAAGTTCTCGAAGTCCCCACTAGATTAGCTAGACACAGAGCACTGATTGGTGCATTTACAAACCTTGAGCTAGGCACAGAGTGCTGATTGGTGTATTTACAAACCTTGAGCTAGACACAGAGTGCTGACTGGTGTATTTACAATCCCTTAGATAGACATAAAGGTTCTCCAAGTCCCCACCAGATTAGCTAGACACAGAGTGCTGATTGGTTTGTTTACAAACCTTGAGCTAGACACAGAGTGCTGATTGCTGTATTTACAATCCCTTAGCTAGACATAAAGGTTCTCCAAGTCCCCACCAGTTTAGCTAGATACAGAGTGCTAATTGGTATATTTACAATCCCTTAGCTAGACATAAAGGTTCTCCAAGTCGCCACTAGACTCAGGAGTCCAGCTGGCTTCACCTGGTGGATCCTGCACCCGGGCCGCAGGCGGAGCTGCCCGCCAGTCCCGCGCGCCGTGCGCCCGCACTTCTCAGCCCTTGGGCGGTGGATGGGACGGGAAGCCGTGAAGCAGGGGGCGGCAATCGTCGGGGAGGCTCCGGCGGCGCAGGAGCCCACCGCGAATTCTCGGGCATGGCAGGTTGCAGGTCCCAAGCCCTGCCCCGCGAGGAGGCGGCTGAAGCACGCGAGCGCGGCGCGGGTGGGCCGGCAGCGGTAGGGGACCCAGCGCCCCCTCCGTAGCTGCTGGCCCGGGTGCTAAACCCCTCACTGCCCGGAGCGGTGGCGCCGGCCGGCCGCTCCGAGTGTGGGGCCCCCGGAACCCGCGCCCACCCGGAACTCGCACTGGCCCGCAAGAGAGTTCCCGCCTCTTCCTCCACACCTCCCCGCAAACAGGGAGCCGGCCTCGCCAGCCCAGAGAGGGGTTCCCACAGTGCAGCGGCAAGCTGAAGGGCTCCTCGAGCGCGGCCAGAGTGGGCGCCGAGGCCGAGGAGGCGCGGAGAGCGAGCGAGGCCTGGCACCACGCTGTCACCTCTCGGCAAGGCGAGATTCCGCGCGGAGGAAAGAGGCGCGCTGTCCGGGGACGGGAGGCTGGCGGCAACCGCTACAGGGTCGTAACAAAACAAGTCCCTAGGGGAACTGAGTGGAATTGCGTCCTTTAGCTCTCCAGAGCTCTCTAAGCTCCTTGAAGGGCCAGAGGCTGAGCCCACCTTGGGACATAATTAGTAAGCCTGACTCAGTGACATGGCCCTGCCAAAAGAAAATATTCCCTGAAGGAACAACCTTCTCTCGCATTCTGGTGCCTAAGGAGGTGCAGCTTGAATGTGAGACTGAATTAGGACAGAACTGAAGGCCCCTTGAGCCACACTGGTATTGAGAGGGTATAAGGGACTGCAGGAAAAAGGGATGTCAGAGAGAAAGAATCCCATTTACAAAAGCGTTACCATGTAGGCAGGGTTTAGCTTTGGGTAATGAATGACTCAGTTCTGTGGCTGGAAAAATACACAAAGAGGATTATTAGAAAAGTTTCTGATTATTTGGTTCATCAAAAGGACATTTCTGCCTACTTCCTAGTTATAGTATGAGTTTATGAAATTTGGGATCATAGAAGAAAGTAAAAATTCTATTAGAGAACAGACACAAGGGCTGACAGTTCTTTGTGACACCTCAGAAACTGTTATTCCAAAATCCTATTTGCAATCAGTTGGGTTACAGCCTCCTGAGATTCACCCTCCTGATTCTGGCCCTGAGCTAGGTTTGTCCAGAGATTAATAAGTTTGTGATCTTTCTGTCCTTCAGCCTTGGTTTAACTGGAATAATAAGTGAGATGAGGAAATGACTAATAGAGCTCATCTTGAGTGTATGTTTTTTTAAAAAACCCATTCTTCCAGTGGGCTGGAAGGGGTAGTGGGAAACATTCAACAACATCTGCCCACACCAGGCCTGCCTCAACTTAATCCTTTCTCAGCTACTCTTCCCAGGTAGAGCCATCATTAATCTGATTGGTCATGTTCTAGGACATCAACAAGGTCTTGATATCTGGTGGAAAGTTTAAGACTTTGTCTTGCTTTTCCTCTCCTCTGGGCCCAAAGAGCATGAGACAGCTAAACTTGGATCTTCTCTGTAGACCCAGCCATGTTGCTTCCTGCTTTTTCTCAACTTATTTCCTCCATGTAGCTGGCCAGCAGTTGACACAAGCCTAAGACTTAGGACAAAGTTAAAGGCACCACTGGAGGTTAAATCTAGGCTACATGCTCCAACAGAGATCTGAACTTCTGCAAGAGATTTGAACTTCTCCATGGGTGATTATTTGATTATCTGAGCACTCACTTAGCTCTTTATAAATTAGTAGTTCCATTTAGTTTAACAAAGTTTTTGAGATCATGGGCTCAGGAACTAGATGACTTGGTTTCAAATCCTACCACCTACCTGCTATGTGACTTTTTCTGTCTCATATTCCTCATCTCTAAGATAGAAATAGTAATTTCTGAGTCATAAATTTGCTGCAAGGATGTGGTACAATGGGCCTTGCAATAAATTCTACAACATCACATAGTATGAACGAAGGAATGGGAATAAGATTTACTGGGGAAACTTAGAAAGCAAGAGTCAGGCACAAGAGGCATAGAGTTCTCAATCCTCTCATAATCCCATGGAGAGGTGAACCAGGGGCAAGAACAAGCCATTTCACATGCAATAGGTTGGGGCTCTGGTCCTGACCCAATTATTCTATCTTGTCAAGGATAAACTTGAACACCACTTTTCAGTAAGACAACAAGCAGACTACTTGATTGCCGGGCAGTCTGGGTTTAGATGCTAGCAGAGCTGAGGAAGCATCTGAGGACCAGATGCCCAACACCTGGAGACCATGCATCCTATGGACAGTTGCAGCCCCTTCGTGTTAGAAAGTGTAAGCAGCTGGTCTCATGCAAAGCTATACGTAGGTGCAGCCCCTCTTTCCAAGAGGAACGGGAAACTCCAGTTGTAGCTAGCACATTTCCTGGGCAATCTAGAGTGAGATCCCAGGATCATTTCTGAATAGTTCTGCTTATTGCCCCATAGAATATTAAGTAAAATGTAGCACACAATATCTTTAGTACAGTATTAATAAGTACTCAATAAATATTAGCTATTATAGTTAGTCCCATTTGGCTATCGCTCCTTTTGTTCAACTTCCTTAGGAACATGATATGAGTAGAGTGTCAGAAGTGATTGACAGGGATAAACTTAGTCATTTCTGGGTTCTTTAGCAAAAATAATAATCTAAAACCACCTCAAACCTCACCCTAACTCTTTTAACAGAGACTTATAATCACATCAACATCTACATTAGCCCACAGCTTTAAAACTCATGTGTATCTTTGTTTCCAAACCGCTTTCTAACTGGTCTCCCCAATTCCAGTTTCTCTACTATCTAGTTTGAATTTCACGGTTGTCAGTGTTTTCTTCCTGAAATATATTATCATATAATTAAAAAGTTTTGCTAATTATTATGTTGGCAAAGCTGGGGAAAAACAGGCTGCCATTTCTGTGTAATATAGAATAAGGTAGGACCAGTAGATCCCATGATCATGTGCCCTTTGTAACACATCCTTCACAGTAAAGTGAGTCCCTTGGTCTGAGATGTAAGGCAAGGTTCCATGTCAGTACATCAGACATTGTGAGTCCTTGGGTAGTATTAGCAGGGGCATTGGAGACAGGGAAGCAAAATTATACCTGGAATACATACAAATCCCTATAAGGATGAGTCTCTGCCCACTGCAAGGTATTAATAGAAAGGGTTCAAAGTGATCAATCTGCCACCAAATGGCTGCTTAATCTTCTCAAGAGATCATACCATGTTGAGGGTTCAATGACAGTGCTAACTGTCCTTTTCTGTCTAATAAAATGAAAAGGATCCCAATCCTTACAGAACATAAAAAGAAAATATATGTGTTAGGCCGGGGTTTCCCACCCTCAACTTACCAGCTGTGACACTGTTGGCAAGTTTATTATCTTCTCCAGGCCTATCTAAAAATTGGGATAATGATAATACTTACCCCATTGGATTGTTTGAGAATTAAATGAGTTAGCACACATAAAGCATTTAAAACGACACCTGACCCAGAATAAGCGCGCTCTATTCAAATGTTTGCCAAATATATTTTTTAATGTTTAATATTAAAGGATGGCTTAAAGGAGGAGAGCAAATGGACGAGAGAAAAACAGCCGAGAAGAGGTTAAAAATAAGATGCCTCTGCTGGCGGGACCCTCCCTACCCACCTCCCCGCCCCGCCCCGCCCCAGAGTTCCCGCAAAGGGGCTTCCCCGCTCGGACTCGACGCCGCCACGCAGACCTGCCCCGCGGCCTCAGCTTCCCGGCTGTGTGGCCCAAGTATAGCCCGAAGCCCTCCGTCCCCTTTCTCCCCAGGCGAGGTCGAAGGAACCACGACCCCATTCGCGGCTAGGAAACAAGAAACCGAACGCTTTTCCATTCCGCAGTCTCCATGGTAACGCGTGCTTCGCTTTTCTAGCACCCGCGGAAGACTCTTCTCTTTGGTCCAGCCCTGCAGACACCGGGAAGCTGTGCTGTCTGAATCAGCTTGGCCAGTGTTGCACTGTTACCATTTGGGAGGAACAGATTAGCTTGAATATGAAATTTATCCTCTTCAGTATACAAAGAGAAAAACAAAGAAAATGAAAGCACGAGTCAATTAGAATTACTTGAATATAAGCTCCACGGGGCAGAGATCTTTAACCGTTTTGTACATTCATGTTATTCCAAGCTCTTAGTACAGTTGCTTTTAGAAATATTTGTTGAAGAATGAATTGAAATGAGTCTGAACAAAATGGACGCAAAGCAGCTTTGACTGATCTATCACCATTTGACTGTTCTCAGTAGCTTTATTTTAAAAAGAACCATAAGTCACATACATTTAAATGTGCTATAACTTTTAGGATCATGAGGGCCAACAAGCATACGTTATAAGTAATGTATTCTGTATTTTCAAGAATATATTTCCAATATATGGTATTTTTCTATAATATATTTTTATCATGTTATGTTTCAATATAATGATTATGAGCAGAACCTTGAACAGAAAATTGTTCCATCTATGTAAGTAATAAGGTTAAACACAAAAGATATATTTAAAAGTTTGGGGAAGTAATAAATACTTTTTTTACTAGATTTTATCTTTTAGAGCAGTTTTAGGTTCACAGCAAAATTGAGCTGAAAGTACAGAGATGTCCCATACTCCTTGCTCCACACATGTGTAGCTCTCTCACTCTCAGCATCCCCAACCGGAGGGGTGAACCTACATTGACAATCACCTGGAGTCCGGACAAATGTATAGTGGCATGTATCCACCATTACATAATCATACGTAGTATTTTCACTGCCCTAAAAATACCCTTTGTGCTCGGCCTGGTCATCCTTCTCCACTTCCAACCCCTGACAACCACTGAACTTTTTTTTCTTTGGTTAAGATGCTACATATATGATCTTTTTACTGTCTCCATAGTTTTGCCTTTTCCAGAATGTCATATAGTTGAAATCATACAGAATGTAACCTTTTCAAATTGGCTTCTTTCACTTAATAATATGCATTTAAGTTTCCTCTATGTACCATAGTAAATACTTTTTAGATTGTTCTTTCCCATATTAGAATATAAACTTTCTACCAAAAATTATGGGAAATTACCCTTTTAGAAGGGAAAATTCCAAGAAAACAATTATTTCAAAAAGATTGCCAATATTTTTTAAATGAAATATCAAAGACAAAAAAAATACTTGCTAGCAAGTTCTGAGTTGAACTGAAAAACAATCAGGTTAATTAAAAAGATTATTGGAAGGAAAATGGGAAGACCTGTCTATGGCAGTTAAAATGGATGAGCTAGAGCCACATTTTTCATGAAGGATAAATCTCAAAACTACATGTAAAGTTGAGTACAAATTACATAGTAACCCCTATAATGTATTCTTGCCAAAAATATTGAACCAAAATGAAATCAAGTATTTAGAGCTCAAAGGATATGTACAAACTGAAACTATTTGTATAAAATTTGTAAAACATGTAAATTATACTATATAATATTTGTGGCTACCCACGTATGTACTAAAAATATGTGAACATGCATGGGAATAATAACATCAAAATCAAGATAGTAGTTAACCTGGGAAGGAAGGGGGAAGGAATTGGTGAGGAGTAGACATGGTGATTTAATTGTGTATATAATCTTTTATGTCTTAAGCTAGATGTTGAGTGTTCTTTATATTACTCTTTAGTATGCCTGAAATATTTGCTATTTTTTTCAAAAGCCCCAGGAAATGAATTTTGTAATTTTGACAGATGGCAGAAGGGCCATAAAATTACTTAACATTATCAGGCTTTCATATCTCCATCAAGTGTCGTGACCTTCAAGTTGAGAATGATAGGACAAACATTTACATAAGGAAGGTAGTTAAACAGTAACTACAAGTTTTCATGCCCAGCTTAAAGCATACTAAAGTTCAGGAGGATTGGCCACAGGACCCCTGAAGCCCATTTTTGAGTAGTGCAACAAATGCCCAAGTCTGACAAATATCCAAATTTTCAAAAAGTAAGAAGGTGAACTGTGGAATTAACAGGGTGAAAAATTTGACATGGATCCCTGGTAAAATTCCAGTATTAATTATTTTAGGAGATGTTTTATGAGCGATTGTGGTTAGCCTAGAGGAAATAATGTAAATAAATGTCTCTTAATCCAACTAGATTATTAAAGTATATGCTAACAGTCTACTGTGGAAGTATCTTTATAACAGCAAAGGGTATAGCAGTCTTTCATGAATGTATTGCACAAAAATATGTGAACTGGACATTATTACTATTAAGTAGATTAATATTGGGAAGAAAGACTGTACCCAGTCAGCCTGGAAGGTAGATGACCACGCATAGCATCTCTCCTGTAGCTCCTTGCACAGTGCCTTTGCACAGTATTCACTAAAGTCCTTTACAAAATTATAGACTTAGTATCCTTAGGGATCATTCTACTTAAAATGCCAATTTCCATTAGATGAGAATAAAATTTTATAAAATTGGGGGATTGAAGAAATTATTTTTGTATAATGATTTTTATTCAGCAAGCAATATGGCCAGGCATTTTCATATACAATATATGTATATTAACCCTCTCACAATGAATTTGTGCATAAGGGATTTGTTTTCACTATTTTACAGATGCAGCAATTAAGACACAGAGAAATTAAGTAACTTGCTCACAGTATCATAGCTAACAAGTTGCAGAATCAGGAACAAGATCTTCTCAATATAAAGTTTCTGCACTTCCCATAATACCACTTTATTGCTACTGTGCCAAGTATTTTCTTACCTCCTTTGTCTTTGAATAAATAGAAGACCCGACTGGGCTGGAAAGGCTGCATTTATATCCAAAGTAGTCTAGGTATGAGATCCAAGAGTCTGAAATCATTAGATTCTCTTCTAATTTTATCCTCTTTTGTACAAACAAGTTTTTAATCTCTTGGGCCTCAATTTTCTCAAGTATAAAATGAAGAAAGTATACCTCATTACCATTATAGTATCTTCCAGGTTTGCAGTTATTCTCATCATGAAATTTGATGCCAGGCAATGTGTTAAGTGATTTCCACGTATTAACTAATTTATCCTTATAACGGCTCTGAAATTTAGGTATTTACACTGGACCCATTTTGCAGATAGACAAACTAGGGTGGGTCTAAGGTATGATACACACACATTGTGAGTGGGGTAGCCAGGATTTAATCTCATAATTAAGCAAATTTTATTTCATTTTGATACATTTTTAAAACAGCTAACCATGACTATTCACAAAGGTATGCAATCCTTGCCCCCACTGAAAGCACCAGAACACCTTGGAAAAATGGCTGATTCCAGGTCTGAGGCAGGAAATGTATGACATGTGTCTGAAACATTTATCTTGCCATAAAGGAAAAAAGCAAAGACGCTTAGAGTTGGATGAAAAGGACACAGGAGATAAAATAAAGGGACTCCCACTGACCAAAGATGAAATAATTTGAACATTAAAAAGAATAACTACTGCAATTGATTGAGACTCATTGAATGTATTTTTTTAAATCCATGTGTTCATATTGATATGCAAAAAGAGAAAACAAAATTTTGCATTAGTTATCAACTGATGCAGAACACTTGATGTTGTGCACAAAAAGAGAAAACAAAATTTTGCATTAGTTGCACAAAAAGATTTTACATTAGTGCACATTAGATGCACAAAAAGAGAAAACAAAATTTTGCATTAGTTATAAAACTTAGAACCAAACATCTGTTGCAGTTTCCTCCCTCAAAGCCATTCCCCAGCTTCTGAAGACCAGAAATCTGGGAGCAGCTTGGCTGGTGGTCCTGCGTATGTCATAAGGTTGCACCCAAGACATCAACCAGGGCTGCAGTCATCTGAAAGCTTGACTAAGGTAGAAAGATCCACTTCCAAACTCACTCATGTGTCTGCTGGCAGGAGGCTTCAGTTCCTCACCACCTGGGCCTCTCCTTACAACATGGCATTTGGCTTTCCCAAGGGTGTGTGATCTACGAAAGAAAAACAGACCAAAACAGAAGCCGTAGATTATTTTATAACCTAATATTAGAGATAATGTAGCATCGGCCAGGTGCGGTGGCTCATGGCTGTAATCCCAGCACTTTGGGAGGCCAAGGTGGGCAGATCACTTGAGGCCAGGAGTTTAAGACCAGTCAGCCAACATGGCGAAACTCTATCTCTACTAAAATATAAAAATTAGCTGGGCATGCTGATGCATGCCTATAGTCCCAGCTACTTGGGAAACCGAGGCAGGAGACTCACTTGAACCCGGGAGGTGGCGATTTCAGTGAGCCAAGATCGCGCCACTGCACTCCAGCCTGGGCAACAGAGCAAGACTCTGTCTCAAAAAACAAAACAAACAAACAAACAAACAAACAAAACATAGCATCACTTTTACCAGATCATTCAGTCACACAAACCAACCCTGGTACAATGTGGAAGGGGGCTACACAAGGATGTGAATGCTGGACAGTAGGGCCCAGCTAGCCATTTTATAGGATGGCTATCACATTTTGTAAGGTGGTTACCATTGATGGCACCTAAGGCACAACTGCTTTTTCTGAAAATTGGCAATTATGTTGAAAATTAAACAGTCTTTCTTTCCTGTACAAACTACATTTCAGGATAACCAAATAGCCCTAAATTGCTAAATTGATGAAGGAAAGTTTTTCTTTATAGAGGAGTTCTAACTAATAAATGTGAAAAAATTATTGAATTAGAAAAATTACAATTTTACAAACTCTAATGAAATGGGGTGGCTGAATCTATCAGATTAAAAGCCAGTGGGAAAGTTTACATGGAAGGATTCAGCTATCAAGTATTAAACCCACTGGTCAATCTTAGCATCAAAAACATTATATGCTTCCTGATGTGTGGCAAAAAGTACATAGCACCACCTAAGGATTCTTACTAACAAAGTTAAACCTAACTCTAATCAAACCTTTAGAGGTAACATCAAGTTTTACAGGAAATATGAGGCTAGAGAAACTAATAAAATGGGGACACAAATAGACAAAGCCAGCATGTAGAACATTCAGGACAAATGTCCCAATTTGTTCAATTAGTTGACTATATGAGGGGAAGACGAAGAGGAGGATGGAAGGAGGAACTAGTTCAGATGTGAATTTTAAAAGAATTAAGACACATGCCCAAATTAAATACTGGAACTTTAGATCTTGAATGAAATAGAAAACAAATGTAAGAAGCATATGTATATATTTAGGGAAATATAATATGGACTTGGTATTAGATGATAACCAGGAATTATTTTGTTAAATGGGATAATGGTATTGTGATTCTGTAGGAAAATATCCTTTTTAAAATAAATGCATAATGAAGTTGAAAGTAAGATATTTGGGGTTTGCTTTAAAACGTTTCAGCAAGAAAAAATGGAGATGGATGAAACAAGTGTGGCAGAATTTTATGTATTTTTAAATGTAAATGATGGGTATATATGGGTTAATTATACTCTTCTTTCGACTTCTGCATAGGCTTAAAATAGTCTTTACTTTTGAAAAAGACATTCAATTATTTGTGTTCTTAGTTAATATTTAAAAGTAACTTTTTCATATATTTGTCACAAAACTTCTGTCCATTCCTATCTAGAGGTTCCTCTACATGGGAAAAAAGGAGCAAAAGGGTAATATTTCTGCAACCCCTTTGCACAGGCCATAAACGCACGCAAACTCCTAGAAGGCTGAGCCGCGAGGAGGAGGGCGGAGAGTTTAAGGGAACGCCTAGACCAGAGAGTTGACGCCTTTCCTAGAAAATCACCGGAAATGATAATTGGCGGACTAGGAAGTGGAGCTTCTGTATATTTCTGTTTCTCATTTCTTGGGGAGAGTACCGGCGGGAAGGTCTGTGCCTTGGGCCGTCGTGGGTCGGAATTTGCAGCTGAGAGGAGAGGAGTCCGGTGCCGCCGTCGCCCCCCTCACCTAAATACCCGGGCCCCTGGGGTTGCAGGCAGGGGCGGGTCTTTGGGGCCAGATTTGAGGAGGGAGTCGGCTGCGGTTTCCTCCCTCGAAGCCATTCCCCAAAATGAGCATTTCCCGCCCATTTGCCCTACCTCCTCCCAGGGGCTCGTGACCCATTTTTTTTTTTTTTTTTTGAGACCGGAGTCTTGCTCTTGTCGCCTCCTGACCCATTCTTTTTATTCTTCTCTACAGCATCCATTCATATATTCATTCAGTCAGCTAATTTTTAATCCAGCACATACTATTGCAAGCGCTGTTTTAGGCGTTGAGAATACAACTGTGAACAAGACGACAAAAATTCCTGCCCTCATGGAGCCTAAGAGCCTAGATTTTAGCGAAGGTAGAACCACCGTAAACAATGTATATATTAATAAGTAACTTATGCACCATACTGGAAAATTATAAAGTGCTATAGAGGAAAAGAAGAATTCATGTAAAGCAAGGTAAGGCCCATCAGGATTGGAAGGAGGGGATAGGCTGCAATTTTAAATAAGGCACTCAGAGTAGACCTCCTTGGGAAGATGACCTATAAGAAAACACTTGAAGGAGGCAAGATTATTAGCCATGGAGATCGCTTAAGGTGAAGGGAGCAGCCAATGGAAAGGCCCTAAGATGAAAGAGAAGGAAGGTCGGTATGGCTGAAGATTGAGGGAGTGGGAGAAGAGTAGAAGGTGTTGAGAATGACACATCCTGTAGACTTGTATGCCACTCTTAAGACTTCAGCTCTTATTTTGGGTGAGCAGGAGAGGAAGTTAGAAGTCACGGGCACATTCAGTAGGGCCTTGTATACCTCGGTAAGGACTTCAGGTTTTATTTTAAGTATGAACCACTGGAGAGTTTTCAGCAGAGCGATGAAATGATCCAACTCAAGTTGTAAACGGACTACTCAGACTGCCCTATTAAGAAAGGAGGTGGAGCTTGCAGTGAGCCGAGATTGCGCCACTGCACTCCCGCCTGGGCCACAGAGCGAGACTCCGTCTCAAAAAAAAAAAAAAAAAAAAAAAAAAAAGAAAGGAGGAAGGCAAGGATTGAAGAAAGGAGACCAGTTAGAAGACTACCGCAGTAATGGAAAGGAGGGGAGATAGCAGGTGATGGTGGCTCAGACAAGGGTGGTAGCCGTTGAGATTGTATTCTGGATATGTTCACATTTTCAGTTTGACTTCGTGCCTCAGGTTCTCAGTGACTCCCTATTTTTTCCTGTGGTCACATTCCTCTTTTCCCTTCACCAAATATGCAGGGAAACAAGATGTGAGATCACAGCGGTTTAGTGTTGCTAATGAACCCCAAATCCAGGGCAGTGTTTGACACATTAAGCCAAACAGTAGCGGCACTGTGGGTCAAGAAGGGCCCTTTGGCTGGCACCACCAAAACATGTGTTCTCCAAAGGAGGCTGGCATCAACTGGAGCCACTTCACAGCTTGTTTGAGAACTGGATCTGACCAGTAGGAAGAAACCAGGACAGCAGTGGAAGACTGTTAAAGAAACCTGAGTAAAAAGATGCAGGAGGTAAGAAGAGGAGGGTCTGTGATACATCACAAGGAGGAAGAAGGAGAAGTGAGTCCAAGAAAGAAGGAAAGCAGTGTGAGTGGAGGTGTGTCTGACTCTAGATACTGTTGGAGGTGTCTCCTCCTAGATACTGTTTTTGCTGCTTGACCTGGTGATCATTAAAGCTTTGTAGTTGTAGATGCCATTTCTAGTTTTCATAAGGTATTAGGAACTGAGTCCATTATTTTCTCCCTTCTTTTGGTATTTCTGGGAGACAGTTTCTGTGGATAGACCTGTATGGTTGCTTGCATCTTCCTATGTATTTTTCTCACCTTCATAACTTTCCTGAATTCATTCTGTGTCTTGCAATAGGTTGTGCTGTTGGATGAGAGTTCAGGACCACCAAGCCAGCTGCTTTGGACCCGCCAGGATACCCAGCTCCCTCAGGAAAGCGGTGAGATACACAGGAGATTGTGGCAGGAGTCACGGCAGCTGAGAATGTAGTAAGGACACAGAGTGGGTGGAAAATGCCACACTGGGGCCCAAAAATCTGTTCATTAATGAGCATTTATAGAAAGTCTTATTTTGTTTCTATACGAGGCTTGGATCAATATCTAGAGGAACTAAATATTCAGTTTCTGTCAGTATCTTAAATTTTGAAAAAAATCAGTGTGTAAAAGATTCTACAAAGCAATTTATCAGAAAGAATCAATGCAGTCAGGCATTTACTGTTTGTATAACCTGAGATATATGGTAAATAGCGTACATATTTGCACATATTTTACACTTATAAAACTTGTGGTATAATTCAGTAATTCCTACCCAAACATAATTTTGCCAACATGTAAAATTTGAATATATACAATTTTACTTCTGCAGACCTTTCTGGAGCCCTGATACTTTTAAATGATGTATAGATATCTCCAAAATATAAAATAAAGCAGTGACAAAAGAAGAAGCAAAAGTTTTCCCATTGAAGCCTTGTGCTCTTTGGTGGCGTATGTGAGGAGGAAAAGTGGTTAAGATTTGTATAAAAGCTGATGGTAGGCCGGGTGCGGTGACTTATGCCTGTAATCCTAGCACTTTGGGAGGCCTAAGTGGGTGGATCACTAGAGGTCAGGAGTTCATGACCAGCCTGGCCAATATGGTGAAACCCCATCTCTACTAAAAATACAAAAATTAGCCAGGTGTGGTGTAATGCACCTGTAACCCCAGTTACTCAGGAGGCTGAGGCAGAAGAATTGCTTGAACCCAGGAGGTGGAGGTTGCAGTGAGCTGAGATCATGCCACTGCACTCCAGCCTGGGCAACAGAGTGAGACTCTGTCTAAAAAAAAAAAAAAAAAAATTGCTGTTGGAGGTGCAACCTAGGAGATAGTATATAGCAATTCAGGAGTCATAAAATCAAACCCAGAAAGGCATAGACTTTTGGACAGAGGAGTAGGCACATTCAAAAGTAAGCTTTTTAGTATATGCTACCTGCAAAAAATAAAAATAAAATGTGTTTCTAGATATAGTGTTGAAACATCTAGAGGAGGAATCCTGAGATATCTGCTGTACAAGGGATCACAAATGAGAATTAATAATATAGAACATAAATTTTTTATAGATTTAGAAATAAAAAATAATAGCTATTGCTAAACTCGGATGCACGAGTCTCCCAGTCTTCTTTTTCTCAAATGGTCGTGAAATCTGCTGTGGTGGATTTTCAGGGTCAGAAATTCTGTAGCCACCTATCATATAATACAATACAAATGTATTAATCTTATCCCACAAGATATCTGTATACTGCTTTAACAAAAAGTTTTATGTTGTTTTTTCATGTAGCCTGTTTCCTAAATTCATTTTTAACTTAAGAGGAATAACCTTTCAATTTCTAAAGCTAAAGCTAAAAAATAAAGCTTATGAATCACTATGAGTGACAGACTTTCCCAGTTGTGAAGAAGATATGGTAAAAACCAGTAGGGAATGAGTTACATAGGGGTATGCTTTTGTCAAAGTTTCTCTAAGGGTACATTTAAGACATGTGCATTTCATTATATGTAAATTTTACCTCGAAAAAGAAGGTAAACAAATGTTGAACTTCCAGTTAATGATATACATGTTAAACTGTTTAGGGGTGAGGTGTACTGATGCTTTCAACTTACTTTGAAATGATTCAAAAAATAAAATACATTAATGAACAGAGAGAGGAATAGATAAATGGATAAGTATGTGATAAAGCAAATATTGCAGAACGTAAATTGTGGAATGTAAGTGATTGGTATATGGATATTTACTATATAATTTTTTCAACTTTTCTATATACTTGAAAATATTCATAATAAAATAATGGTTGAAAACATCCAATTGAGAGCTTTAAGTGTGTTAATGTTATAAGGAAAAGAACTGTTATGTAACATTAACAAGGCACAAACATGTGTCTGCTGTGAGTTGTGTGCCATCCAGATGAGTTTAGACTTTTTGAGACAGTTATAAAGGAGCTCGGAGCTTTTAGAGTGAGACAGTGGAAAAACTGTATGGAACCACCATGACTGAGATGCAGCCTTGGTCTTGGTCAAAAGCTATAAGTAGCTGAAACTAAAGAAGAGTCTTCTTGGGCAATTTCAGTGAAAAGAAATCAGCTTGGTTCTAAATCGGTTTTTCGTAAAAATGGAATGATAGTCTTGGAGGTCTAAATCCAAAGGGTGATTATAAAATCTTACCAATAGATTACTTTGACCCTGCTGGTGTCTTAAAAGCAGACAGCAATTATTCAGATTTGGACTTGGCGATGTGTTGATAAACTATCAAGAAAAATAAGGCACCTTAAACATTGAAGCTACAGAAAGATTGAGCTGGCCTGCAAGGAATAAAGTCAGGCCCTATTAATTAGTAATATGAACTACTTCTCAGCTGGGCGTGGTGGCTCATGCCTGTAATCCCAGCACTTTGGGAGGCCGAGGCGGGTGGATCATGATGTCAGGAGATGGAGACCATCCTGGCTAACATGGTGAAACCCCATCTCTACTAAAAATACAAAAAATTAGCCAGGCATGGTGGTGGGCACCTGTAGTCCCAGCTACTTGGGAGGCTGAGGCAGGAGAATGGTGTGAACCCAGGAGGTAGAGCTTGCAGTGAGGCAAGATCACGCCACTGCACTCCAGCCTGGGAGACAGAGCGAGACTCTTAAGTCTCAAAAAAAAAAAAAGAAACTACTTCTCACCCAATCATATGGATTATACCTGAACACTTGGACACTCTTTATAAAGTTTCTTTTGCATTTTAAAATGCTCTGTGTGCTATACTATATTGACATAGGGAGGATAACTCAGTACTAGGGAATTAGTAGGAAAAATGTGCAAAATCGGGAAGAATGATTCTTCTCTAAGAGGAATAAGGAAAAAAATTTGTAACTAACTGGAGGTAGACCAGCCATTAAGTTACCTGAAAAAATAAGCTTTGGTCCTATCCCTGGATGCTTCTGTTCAACACATATGCACACACACACATACGCGTGCATGCACACACTCTTTTTCACCCTCCTTCTACCCCAAGTATTTTGGAAGAAATGACTTCAGTATTCAAATACAGGAAGAAGGTCTATTCAAAACCAGGGAATAAGTGATTTGGGCCTTTTTACCAGATCTGTTTGGGGAGGGGGAAAGTTTATTCCAGGACAAAGACCACAGGAAAACAGTAGGTGAGACAGGAAAAGAGTGCATTTCCAAGAGCTGCCTTGGCTGCTGTGCCAGGGCCTGATGCCCAACACTGGAAGTTGAGACTAGAAAAATAATGAAGAGGAAGGATACTGTAAGGCAGTAGCCTAAAGCCCTAGGTTAGAGCTGCAGAAGCTTCTACATTTGAGGAAGAGAAGACGAATGCAGGAGATTTCATTAATACTGTGCTATATTGACTCTTGGCTTACTTATCTTCCCTCAGCTCTATTACCTGCTCCATATCCTGCCTTCACTAAAGATGGAAGCCAAGGAAACCTGCCGCAAGCAGATATCACACTAATGAGCCAGGCCCAAGTGAGCTGAGGCCCCTTTCCTCCTCCTTGAAAATACATCACTACCTCCAAAATATGGCCTTGTTTTCACTGCGTTCTCTGGCTGTGCAACTCCTAAATCAATGTTCTCCCTCTCATAAGGAACATTTTGTTGCATGATAAACCACTTGTGGGTTGTTTTCTCTTTCATTATTTTTTGCTATCAAAACCCCATGCTCCCTTTCATCTCATTTGTACATACCCACCAAAAGGGAAGAGCCTTTCACTTCTATAAACCTCCTCCTTGCAAATTCCTTTCTTCTGCCTCTGTTTCCTGAGGAAACTATGGCGTTTTCTCCAGGATAGCAGGAGCATATTATTTCAGGAGTCAGTGACATTTGAGGATGTAGCTGTGAACTTCACTAACAGGGAGTGGCAGTGTCTGACCTACGCTCAAAGGCATCTCTATAAGGATGTGATGTTGGAAAATTATGGGAACATGGTATCACTTGGTAAGGACCTTCCCTACACTTAATGCTTTCTACCTTCTTTTTTTATTATTTAATTGATTTATTTATTGATGTATATAAGGTCTCATATTGAAAGAGTCCTTATTCTTTATCATCAGGATCTTGCCCAAAAATTAAGAGTTTTGAGTTGCCTCTATTACATAGCAAGATAATTTTTTGGCTAACCTAGTTGCTGTTTTCTGATTTGGAATGAGTTAAAAGGAGACATTTACCTTCTGTTTTCCCTGGGTTCTTGCTTCCTCAAGCCTCTCATTTTTTTATGGGGTGTTCTATATTCCGCTCCTAGTCAAGAACTGCCTTCTATGTGCCTGAAACTGATAGTCTTCCTATACCAGACTCCCATTCTCCTAAAGTAAAACAAAATAAAATTAAAAAAAAAAAAAACAGGAGAGCACACCCAAATGACTGTTTCCCAGAACTTCTCTTTCCTTCTGAGTGTGACTTTTCTGAGAAAGTCCCCAAACATGTTCTTTTACATGTTACTAGACCCCTGAAAAACCCTTTTCTCTATCTAAATTAACATTTCTTTCCTGTTTTCATATACAAACAGAAGGATCAGGGCTGCTTAGCTAAGTTATAAGTTATTAAGTTATAAGTTACTCTACACACTTATTTCTTCTCTGCAACCAGGATTTCCATTTCCTAAACCTCCTTTAATCTCTCATCTGGAGCGAGAAGTAGACCCCTGTGTGCAGGATCCACAGGACAGGGAGTCCCTAAGCTGCTCCTACCCAGGTGAGTAATAGAGAAACTTTCAGTTCCCTCTGATCTTCCATGTGGCATAATGGTTATGGAACATTCTCAGTGGTGGATCATCCAGTCGAAGGGCCCAGAAAGGAAACCCATTTAGGAAACTTAAGGAAAAGAAAATTGAAACAGTGACAAACTATTTGGGCAATTATTCTGTTATTATCTAATTGGTTCTTTGCAACCTATCTAATAGATTTTTGCAATTTGGCCCTCAAAAAAGGCTCAGAGGCTGGGCACAGTAGCTCATGCCTGTAATCCCAGCAATTTGGGAGGCCAAGATGGGCAGATCACCTGAGGTCGGGAGTTTGAGACCAGCCTGGCCAGTATGGTGAAACCCCATCTCTACTAAAAATACAAAAATTAGCTGGGTGTGGTGGTGCATGCTGGGTGTGGTGGTGCATGCTGGGTGTAATCCCAGCTGCTTGGGAGGTCTGAGGCCGGAGAATCATTTGAACCCAGGAGACAGAGGTTGCAGTGAGCTGAGATCACACCACTGCACTCCAACCCGGGGGACACAGTGAGACTCCACCTCAAAAAAAAAAAAAAAATCTCAGAATATTTATTACCCTTCTGTGTGTCAGTTACTGCAGTGCTCATAAATTGAGACAGGTGAGAGTCATTCTAGGCAGAAGGAATAACATGTGAGAAAGCATTGAGGAATAAAATAATATGAACTATGAATTGTTCAGTGTGAGTAGAGCAGGGGACTTAGAATAGCTTTGGGGAGGTTCATAAGTAGTAGAAAGGGGCAAGATCATGATATGACGTCTGTTTTTTGGGAGTTTTCTTAAGGAATTTAAACTACAAAACTTGAACTTACAATAACAGCTAATATTGATTAAAGTACTTCAGTGTGGCATGTGCTTTACATACATTAACTCATTTAGATAAAGCAACTGAGGCAAAGGAGAAGTGAAGTCATCCTCCCAAGTTCACACAGGTATTAAGATTTATTAACTGTCATACTAGGATTTGAACCCAGGCAGTCTCACTCTAGAGCCAGGACTCTTGACCGTATGCTTTACTTTCTTCCTGTCTGGTTAACTATGGAGTGCCATTGAAGTATTTTAAGCTAAAAAGTGACATGATTAGACTTGATTTTCAGAGAGAATAATCTGGAAGCAGTGCAGAGGATGGATTAGAAGGGATTCAGGGTAAAGGATGTTTGAGGGATATAGCAATTAGTGAGAATGCACTGGCAGTGGAAATAAAGAGGAAGAGATAGAGTTCAGAGATAATATTAATAAGATGTATTTGGAGTCTTTGGTTGACAGCAATAGAAATTAACCCAAGCTAGCTTAAGCAGAAAAACATGAATTTATTTATTATTCAGGATGTGTCATGGGACCTAAGGGCAGCTATGTGTCAGGCCCTAGAAGAGACTCAAAACCATCAGGTTTCCAACTGTATTCCCTGCTTCTTTGTGAGTCAGCTTCATTCTTCTTTCTAGGCAAATTGACCTTCTCTTCTTCTCGGACCAGATGGCAGAACATTCCCTCCTCTGTACCAAATACCATCCCACCACCACTAGTTCTCAAATTTAAGTGCTAAAGACTGAGCTACTCTTAGAGCTGGCCTTACCTGCCGTCAGATCACAATTCTAAAGTCCAGGATTAGAGAATCTGACCTGGTTTGGGTCAGGTATTGCACAGATCTAATCTGCCCCAACCAGATGGGCTGAGTCACATAACAGAAATATGGCTCTCCAGGGCCCACCCTTGGGAGCAAAGCAGACAGTTCCTTGAAAAGGGACTGCATCAGCATTTCAGCACCTCCTCTGTAACTCTCTTCACAGGTAGAATTTGTAAAATGTTAGCTGGGTAAATACAAGGGAGACAGAGTTGAAGATTATTTTGTTTTGTGGCTTAGATGACTAGGTGTATAGAGTTTACACTCACTAAACTAGGAGACTATAGAGGAGGAATAGGTTTTTAAGGATTTTTTATAAAGTGTGCTGAGTGTAAAATATCTCAATACTTTTCATTATTTCAGCCTGTTCTGACTTTTGGCCACAACGTTAGTAATTTTTCCAGCATGGAAAAGTTATTTACTCTTCAAACAGCTTAACATTGCTTCACGCCTCCCATCTCACTTATTTCCTTCCCTCTGACATTTGTATTTTCTTGTTTAAGTGTCAGCTGACAAGATGTGGCCTGAGAATGAAAAGGCAAGTTCACAACAAGAGATTTTTGAAAATGGAGAAGCCTACTGGATGAAATTTAACAGTCTCCTAAAAGTTGATTCCCGGGATCCTAAGGTTAGAGAAGTTTGTGTTCAGGATGTCAAATTAGAGAATCAATGGGAAACATCTATAAGGGAGAAACTGAGAGAAGAGAAAGAAGGCTCTGAGGAAGTGACCTGCAAAAAAGGAAAGAACCAGAAAGTGCTTAGTAAAAACTTGAATCCAAACTCAAAACATAGTCAATGTAATAAAGTTCTTATAGCACAGAAACTCCATGAATGTGCCAGGTGTGGCAAAAACTTCAGTTGGCACTCAGATCTAATTCTCCATGAGCAAATTCATTCTGGTGAGAAACCCCATGTGTGTAATGAGTGTGGGAAAGCATTCAAGACCAGAAATCAGCTTTCTATGCACCGGATAATCCACACAGGGGAGAAACCTTTTAATTGCACCCAGTGTGGGAAGGCTTTCAACAGTAGATCAGCTCTTTGCCGACATAAAAAAACCCACAGTGGGGAGAAGCCTCACGAGTGCAGGGACTGTGGGAAGGCCTTCAAGACCAGGAACCGTCTCTGTATGCATCAGCTTATCCACACCGGGGAGAAGCCTTACAAATGTAACTGCTGTGGGAAGGCCTTCCAGTTTAAGCATTCCCTTACCATCCATGGCAGAATCCACACTGGGGAGAAGCCATATGAATGTGAGGAGTGCGGGAAGGCCTTCAGTGGGAGTTCAGACCTCACCAAACACATAAGAATCCACACTGGGGAACGACCTTATGAGTGCAGCAAGTGTGGAAGGGCCTTCAGTCGGAGCTCAGACCTAAGCAAACACAAACGAATCCATACTCGGGAGAAACACTATGGGTGTCCCCAGTGTGGAAAAGACTTCAGCATCAAGGCAGAACTCACCAAACACAGAAGGATCCACACTGAAGAGAAACGTTACAGGTGTGAGGAGTGTGGGAAAGCCTTTCGTCATAACTGTAAGCGCAGGGCTCATGAACGAGAGCATACAGGGGAGAAGCCCTATCAATGCAGGGATTGTGGGAAAACCTTCCAAGATAAGCACTGCCTTACCATCCATCAGAGAATCCACACTGGAGAGAAACCTTACAAATGTTTAGAGTGTGGGAAAGCTTTCAGTGGGAAGTCAAACTTGACCAATCATCGAAGAATTCACACTGGAGAGAAGCCTCACAAATGTGAGGTATGTGGAATGGCCTTCCATCATAGTTCAGTCCTGAGGCAGCACAAAAGAATCCACACTGGTGAGAAGCCATACACCTGCAGTGAGTGTGGCACGTCCTTCCGTCAGGGCTCAGCTCTGATTGGACATAAGCGAGTTCATACTGGGGAGAAACCTTATGAATGTGAGGAATGTGGAAAAGCTTTTAGAGTGAGCTCAAATCTTACTGGACATAAGAAAAGAAAACATCAAGTATGGAGTACCCATGAACTTGATGGGAGTAGGAAATCCCTCTCTCCAGTGACTGTTTCTCAGACCTCAGTAGTCAGTATTTTGACCAGTGCCTGAGTATAACGATTCTGGTGTTACTTTCTGTTTTTCCTACCTCTTAGGCTGGTCCTTCTGTCTCTTATATTAGTTATTCCTGATTTCCTGACCCTTAATTGTGAGATTCCCCAAAGACATTGTCCTTTACCTTCTTATTCACTATTTTTTCAGTGAGCACATTTACTTCCAAGAGTTTATCAATCACTTCCTAATATTAATAAACACTTATTAGTGCTTGCTGTGTTCTAGGCACTGTTCTAAGGGATTTACACATTTAAACTTTTTAAATCCATACAACATCCCTATGAGATCAGGAATTTGAGGCACAGAAAGATTAACAAACTTGCCCAGGATCACGTAACTAGTAAATTCTGTGCTCAGGCTTTCCTAGGCAATTCCCATATGCGTGCACCACATCTTTCCGACATGAAGTTATACCTCAGTTCAGCAGAAAACAGTTTGTAATTTATAAACACCAATCATTTTTAGCAATTTTTTTAACATAAAGCTAGAATGGTACTTCTCCATATTGTATCAGGATTGCTAAGATTCAAAGTGAAAAGGGAGGCAGGGAGAGAACAGGTTTAGAAATCACAGATAAGAGTCAGGCACGGGGGTTCATGCCTGTAATCCCAGCACTTTGGGAGGCTGAGGAGGGAGGATCACGAGGTCAGGAGTTCGAGACCAGCATGGCCAATATGGTGAAACCCTGTCTCTACTAAAAATACAAAAATTAGCCAGGCATGGTGGTGCACGCCTGTAGTCCCAGCTACCCTGGAGGCAGAGGTTGCAGTGAGCCAAGATCGTGTCACTGCACTCCAGCCTGGGCAACACAGCAAGACTCCATCTCAAAAAAAAAAAAAAAAAAAAGAAATTACTAGTCTGACCTCCAGAAGTCTTTTGATGTTTCCTAAACACATAAAATGAATATTTTGAGAGCGTATTTGAATAAATTTTAGATTTTTACCTGGTGAAAAAGATATGTCTTGAAAATTCTGAAGGACTACTTTATGAACAGTGGGTTAATCTTGTTCTGCAACTATCCCAGAATAGAATTACAATCCACAAGTAGAAGCTACAGGACATCTGTACATTTAGGAGATACTCAACTGGAACAGATTCTGCCATAAGGTAATAAGTTTGGTAAGAATAATACTGAAGGAATTCGAAGGTCAGGTGCATAGTTGAATGACAAAACATGTTGCTTGAAACCCTAAGATATCTGTAGTTCTAATTCTGAAGAGTTACCAAACAAGAGTTAGTCTAAGTTATAATTTACATACAAAAATCACCAGGTAAAACTCACTTTTTAAATCGAATTACATTCCACGTGCAAACACAAAATTTTTACCAGAACACTGATATGAGATTATTTTTACCTTCACAAAAGAAATGGAGAATGCCAATTTCATTTAAGTTTAAGAAAGATGATAAGATACTTCTTGGTAAGGATTGTAGCTTGACTACGTGTATTTGGTATTGCTCCCCCTCAGAACTACACTAATGCTACAGTAAAACCATTCATAATCAGGAAGAATGGCAGAAGAGGCAACTACAAAATTTTGGAAACTGAAAAAAGGATAAGTAATAATGACATTGAATTTGAGAAAGCTAAATTTTAGCCTGAAGGGGGCAAGTAAAGGACAAATCTGACCGGGCACCGTGGTTGACACGTGTAATCCCAGCACTTTGGGTGGCTGAGATGGGCAGATCACTTGGGATCAGCAATTTGAGACCAGCCTGGCCAACATGGTGAAACCCTGTCTCTTTATTAAAAATAGAAAAATTGGCTGGGCTTGGTGGTGCGTGCCTGTAGTCCCAGCTACTGGGGAGTGGGAGGCGGAAGTGGCAGTTAGCCGAGATTGCACCACTGCACTCCAGTCTGGGCAACAGAGTGAGACTCCTTCTAAAAAAGAAAAGAAAAAAAAAAAGACATTTATTTTACATCATAGAATCTTTAAGCGACTCAAGAATTGGTGGCACCATGTACCCCTGGAAATGAGAATGAATAGACTAAAACGAGGAGAGTCTGTCAGAGGCTATTTAGGAAGCAAGCAGAGTCCTAGGTCCTCAAGCCCAAAGAAGACTGGAGGTTTATTTTCTGAAGAAGGTTAAACAAAGGATATGTGGGCTAGACACATGGAGGACAGGAATTCCATTTGAAAAAGGAGCATACTGAATGTCAACGCCTCCAGCCTACTTTCCTTATCTCCCAGAAAGATGAGGGTCTGGCTTTCACCTCCCAGACAAAAGACGCAGTTTTCAGTGAGAAATCCAACCAGAATAGACTTGAAGATACATCAGGAGTTTCTCAGCAAGTGGCCTAGCCAGATAACCTGTAGTGAACATCAGCAAGTCATAGTCGTGCCATCAGAGCTTCCCATAGGTTTTATAGTCCTCCTCTATTAAAAAAAATGTATTGGCCGGGCGCAGTGGCTCCTGCCTGTAATCCCAGCACTTTGGGAGGCTGAGGTGGGCAGATCATCTGAGGTCAGGAGTTCAAGACCAGCCTGACCAATATGGAGAAACCCTGTCTCTACTAAAAATGCAAAAATTAGCCAGGCATGGTGGCGCTTGCCCGTAATCCCAGCTACTCAGAGTCTGAGGCAGGAGAATCGCTTGAACCCGGGAGGCAGAGGTTGTGGTGAGCCGAGATTGTGCCATTGCACTCCAGCCTGGGCAATAAGAGCGAAACTCCATCTCAAAAAAATAAATAAATAAAAAATAAAGTTTATTATAGAACATTTCAAACCCATGCAAGAGTTAAGGCAATAGAAAAATGAACTCCATGTACACATCATTCAGCTTCAACAATTATTACGTCAGGGTTAATCTTGTTTCATCTGTATCCCCACCCATTCCCTCTGCTTAAGATTATTTTCAAGCAAATGACAGAAATTGTGTTTCATCCATAAGTATTTAATTGTCTATAGGAGATAATGACTGTTTAAAAAAACTAACAATATGGGCCGGGCACGGTGGCTCACACCTGTAATTCCAGCACTTTTGGGAGGCTGAGGTGGATGGATTGCCTGAGGTCAGGAGTTCAAGACCAGCCTGGCCAACATGGTGAAACCCCGCCTGTACTAAAAATACAAAAATTAGCCAGGCGTGGTGGCAGGCGCCTGTAATCCCAGCTACTCGGGAGGCTGAGGCAGGAGAATTGCTTGAACCCGGGAGGTAGAGGTTGCAGTGAGCCGAGATCGCGCCACTGCACTCCAGCCTGGGCGACAGAGCAAGACTCAGTCTCAAAATAAATAAATAAATAAATAAACAAACAAACAAACTAACTAACAAACTAATAATAGAGCCAGGGGCACGACGGCCTATGCTGTAGTCCCAGCTACTTAAGAGGCTGAAGTGGGAGGACTCCTTGAGCCCTAAAGTTTGAGGTTAGCTTGGGCAATATTGCAAGACCCCATCTCTAAAAAACAAACCAAAAATATAAGTAAACTAACACTAGTACAGTTATCACACCTAAACAAAATTATCTATTTGGCAACATCATCAAAGATTCATTCGCTGTTCAAATTTTTCTCTAATGCCATTTTTTCTTAACATTAAAAAAAACCAAGCCAGGCACCATGGCTCACACCTGTAATCCCAGTACTTTGGGAGGCCAAGGCAAGAAGATCACTTGGGCTCAGGAGTTCAAGACCAGCCTGGGCAACATAGCAAGACCCTGTCTCTACAAAAAATTCAAAAATTAGCCAGGCATGGTGGTGCATGACTGTGGTCCCAGCTACTCGGGAGACGAGCTTGGGAGGTCAAAGCTGCAGTGAGCCGTGATTGTGCCACCACACTCCAGCCTGGGTGACAGAGTGAGACACTGTCTCAGAAAAAAAAAAAAAAAAGTATTCAAATAAGGTCAATACATTGTGATTAGTTGGTATGTATCTTAAGTATTTTAATATATAAGTTCTCCCTATATCTCTTTTTTCTTGAAATTTATTTAATGATTAACTAGGTTGCTGGTGCTGCAGAGTTTCACAGTTTGGATTTTAATTATTGCACACCTTTGGTAGTATTTAACACATTCCTCTGCCCCTGCATGTCCTAAAAATTAATAGTTAGATCTAAGGGCTTTATCAAATTCTATATTTAGATTTGATTTGGGTAAGACTACTTCATAGGTGTCAGCACAAGCCTTTTTTGTTTAACATGACTAAAGTAGTCTTCAGTAGCCTCCTTGCTTTCTGGTGAAAAGATTTTCCAGGTTCATCTGGTATATTTCCTTAGGAAGACTCTTGTTTCTAAAACTAGTACAGGAAAAAAATATAAGATCTGAATAGTCTGATACCAATTATTTAAATAGAACCTATAATATATATTCCCAGAAAGAAAACTCAAGGGTCAGATGTTTTCACCAGTTAATTCTACTAAACATGCAAGGGAAAATAATCCCAATGTTAAACTCATTTTATGAGGCCTGTATAACCTTAATACCAAACCATTAGGGAACGATGAGGAAAAACAAACAACACAAGGAAATTTTTTAAAAAAGAAAATTACAGGCTATTATCATTCATGAATGTAGTGAGAAAAATCTTGAGATAGTAACAAACTGAATCCAGGAATATACATTTTTTAAAAGATTACATGTCTTGAACAAGTTAAGATTATTCTAGCATGGAGAAGTTGGATTAGCATTCAAAAATCAATAAAGGTGGTCAGGCGTGGTGGCTCACACCTGTAATCCCAGCACTTGGGGAGTCCCAGGTGGGAGGATCACTTGAGGTCAGGAGTTTGAGACCAGCCTGGCCAACATGGCAAAACGCCCCTCTCTACTAAAAATACAAAAATTAGCCGGACCTAGTGGCCTGCACCTGTAATCCCAGTTGGGAACAATTCTGTGACAGTCCTTCTTTCTAACATACAATTCATATTATTTTCTTTTTATTCTCTTAAATCTGGAACATCATTCAAAATCTACACATAGAAAGCTATCTCCTTTTTAGTAGAGTTTGCCCCATATTAGGGCAATAACTTATCTAATCCTTGTGAACCCCCATGAGAACCCCACTAAACTCTGAGTTCCGTGGGGCAAGGACGTTCTGTGCTGTTCCCTTCCTTATCCTCTCCATACCCTCCCAAACTTTATGAAGCTGGAAAGAGGAAGAGAAGGAGATGAGGGAAGGCTTCCAAGGAGAAACAACTTCCAAGCTGAGGTCTAGAGAATGAGAGACAGACCAGAAGTATGCAGAGAGAACTGCTCCGAGGAGAGATAGGGCTCCCCCGGCAACCACAGAGATACGGGGTACTGAGAAGCCCACAGAGAAGGTACCTGACTGGGTGTGTCTGGCAGTTGTAAGGTAAGGCAAGGCACTGGCACTTTCCCTAGAGTTGTCTCTTCTCTATACCATATAACTATGGTTCCAAGTGTGAAGTGAGCACACTACAGAGAGGCTGGAGGAAGAACAGCAGCTGATTCCAAACATAAATTAATCCTTCAGGCTGCGTGCGGTGGCCCACGCCTGTAATCCCAGCACTGTGGGAGGCCGAGGAGGGAGGATCACTTGAGGCCAGGAGTTCGAGACCAGCCTGACCAACATGGCGAAACCCCGTCTCTACTAAAAATACAAAAATTAGCCAGGGCGTGGTGGCGCGCACCTGTAATCCCAGCCACTCGGGAGACTGAGGCAGGAGAATGGCTTGAACCGGGGAGGCGGAGGTTACAGTGAGCCGAGATCGTGCCACCTCACTAAGTATGTGCCATTAAGGGTTTTTTTGCTTGTGTCACTCATTGCTGTATCTGAGGCGCCTGGAGTACACTGTCCTCTAAATAATGGGGGAACATTGTTCTGGGGACGGTTATCTCTGGCTCCGTGGTAAACAGAAGTCGAAGAGGAGAATGGGATTGATACGTAAGAACCATTCATACTGAACATTTGGAAAGGGATTCTCCTAAAAACAGTCCCTAGTGAGAATGAAAAGTACTTGGCAGCGGTGGGATTTGAACCCACGCCCCCGAAGAGACTGGAGCCTTAATCCAGCGCCTTAGACCGCTCGGCCACGCTACCGTTGATTACAACTGTGTTCTTCCGCATTTTCCCTAGTAGAGAATGTCGCCCTCTACTGCGTTTAAGGTGTGTCTTTTTTCCCATTAGGGAATGTCGCCCCCCCCCCCCACCCCGGGGCGTTTAAGGTGTGCCTTCTCCCCATGACCTCTTCTCTGGAGCTCCCTCCAGCGCCATCAGAGAACTTCAGGCAGCTGTTCAGCCGCCACACACCCCGAACCCCCAACACGTTGCTTTCGCACTGATGGGAGCAGTGAGGAAGGAAACCGGCGGATCCTAGACGCCCTTCCCTTGCGTCACCGATGTAAGAGGAAGCGGCCACGCGGACGGAGACCCCCAGGGGACGCTGTGGTTCGCAGGTTCGCTGTGGAAGGTGACGCCTGGCTGGAGCCCCGACGCCGCTGAGCGAGTTTCAAGTGGTTTTGGCCGACGGAACTCTACGAAAAAACGGGGCGCCGTGCGAAAGAGCGCAGTCCTTGCTGTTTATGAAGGTAAAAATTCAGAAGGTGACCCGCGGTCCCCGCAGAAATGCCCGCCGGGCAAAAGGCACAAGACGGTTCAGTTTGAAACCTCAAGATTCGAATCATTTAAAAGTATAGTTGCTGCTATAGTATAATGCAATGCATTGACAAAGTTGTTCGTTGCGTTTCTCTTAGTGCAGGCGACAGCGCGTCGGTCTCCTTGGCCCAAAATTTTGACTGAGTCCTAAAATAAAAACGCATTGTGCAAAAAATTATGACAAATAAGATCATAATAAAGAAAGTTAACTAGCGCTGGAGTTTCTTATTGTTTTGTCATTCATCTTCATTAAAATCACTGCTGACGGAAGTTTTTATCCAATATGCCAGTGGAAACTATGCTGTCTTAGAATTCTTTTTTTTTTTTTTTTTTGGAGATGGAGTTGGCTAGAGTCCAATATCGCGATCTCGACTCACCGCAACCTCCGCCTCCCAGGTTCAAGCAATTCTCCCGCCTCAGCCTCCCGAGTAGCTGGGATCACAGGCATGCGCTACCAAGCCCGGCTAATTTTGTATTTTTAGTAGAGATGGGGGTTTCTCCATGTTGGTCAGGCTGGTCTGGAACTCCCGACCTCAGGTGATCCGCCCGCCTCGGCCTCCCAAAGTGCTGGGATTACAGGCGTGAGCCACCGCGCCTCCCAAAGTGCTGGGATTACAGGCGTGAGCCACCGCGCCTCCCAAAGTGCTGGGATTACAGGCGTGAGCCACCGCGCCTCCCAAAGTGCTGGGATTACAGGCGTGAGCCACCGCGCCCGGCTGTCTTACAAATTCTTATATTTGAGTTGTTCATACGGAATTTACTGCATAGTGCCTGGTGTTAATTTCCTGTGGTTACTGTAACAAATTATCAGAAACTGTCTAAAAACAACAGATATGTATTCTCTTACAACAGATATGTATTTCTGAAGGCCAGAAATCCACAATCAGTATGTGGGCCAAAATCAAGGTGTGGGCTGCGTCCAGCTCCCTCTAGAAACTTTAGAGTAAAATCCTATCCTGGCCTTTTCCAGCTTCTGGTGGTTGCTTGTTGACTTATACTGATTCAGTAAAAGTACCTCGTCAATACTAAAAGTTGCAATACTCTTAGCAATACATTATTTCCTAAGGAAATTACTTTAGGAAAATTACTAAGAAAAAAGATTTCCAAGAAAGCAAAAGCAACACAGTCACTCCCTTTTTTGAGACGAAGTCTCAGTCCGTCGCCCAGGCTAGAGTGCAATGGCGCCATCTCGGCTCACTGCAACCTCTGCCTCCCGGGTTCCGGGTTCAAGCGATTCTCCTGCCTCAGCCTTCCGAGTAGCTGGGACTACAGGCATTCGCCACCACGCCCAGCTAATTTTTGTATTTTTAGTAGAGACAGGGTTTCACCATATTGGCCAGGCTGGTCTCGAACTCCTGACCTTGTGATCCGCCTGCCTTGGCCTCCCAAAGTGCTGGGATTACAGGCGTGAGCCACGGCGCCCGGCCTGCACACCCGCCCCCCTGCTCTTTCTCCTGGTCTCACTTTCCTCTGTTCCTCCGTATTCCCCAAGGTAGGCGCGCCTCTTTTGTCACCTGCTGTGTCAATCTGGGCTCTCTGCCTGGTTCTCTCAGTCCCTCACAACAGCAATAGTTTCCTCTCCACTATCAAGGCTATATTCTCCTACCAGTTCTAGATCTCTGAGAGCAAGATGGCCGAACTTGAGGGAGACCACTTTTTGACAGCTTTAACCTTCAAGGACACAGAGCAAGGGTGCCCTCCTGCTAGGTGCTAATTGGTTCAATGCTTCATCAGCTGCATCTTGGTCCATCAAAGGCATCATTCCAGAGACTGATTTTCTCTCTGGTGTTTGCAATCCTGCACGGTAAACTAGGAGGGTGAAAACAAAACAGAAAAATGGGAGAAATTATTTGAAAGTGACGATATCAACCAGTGAACATCAGGAATCCATTAACCCGTTCAACAAGTATTGACTGAATGCCTACTCTGTGCCTGGGCACTGAGTATTCAGGACGAACGCTGACACCGGCGGTCCTCACCTTCACAGCTAGGAGGAAAGGCCAACTGATTAAGCAATTGCAAGTCATCATCGTGACTGAATTGGTGCTGGGTCACACAGCTCGGGATTGGAACTTAGTGTCGATCTGGAAAGGCCTGCTTGGAGAAATTCACGAATGCACTGAGGAATGGGGTGGGGGTAGGAGGTTGGAGCGAGACAAGACTGGCCAAAAGTCTGAAAAGAAAAAGACAATTTGGGTTTGAACCCGCAACAGAACAAGCCCCACAACCCTTCTCTCTCCGTAGAATCCCTACCTCCCGGAGGGAAGACTGAGAATCCTGAAGGGGTCAGGAATGAGAAGGACAAAGGAGAAAGAAAAGAGTAGGACGGCTTCTCCCACGGATCAATCGCGTAGGTGGTGGTGGTCCCTGACAGCTGCAGCTGCCTGATCACTGCTGGATCTGTGATTCTAAAATTCTGAGCAGTAACGAGCCCAAGCGTGCACCTGAGGAAAGAGTAAGGGCACACAAAGTCAGAACAAAGTATGTATGTATTTGAGCCAGGGCCTCGCTCTGCCACGATCAGAGCTCATTGCGGCCTCGAACTTCTGGGCTCAAGAGATCCTCCCGCCTCAACCTCCGAGCAGCTGGAACTACACGTACACGTGACCGCGCCTAGTTTTTCTTTCTTTTCTTTCTCTTTCTTTTCCTTTCTCTCTCTCTCTCTCTTCCCCCCGCCCACCCCCCCCCCTTTTTGGTAGAAACGGGGGTCTCGCTTTTTTGTCCTGGCTGATCTCGAAATCCGAGGCTTCAAGCGACCCTCCCGCCTCCGCCAGAGGAAGAATGTAAACGGGACAGGAATGTGTCTCTGCTCCCCCGCCCTGGCGAGGGACTTGCTAGTATCCTCTATCCAACTGCTGGCTGAATGTGTTCTCTCTAGGAATCGAGGAGGACTGCCTTTCTCGCTGGTTCTATTTCAGTCCCGATCCCACAGCTTCAGTCCAACCGGTTTGCTTTGTTTGATAGGCTGGGCATGAGAGTGAGATTTGGAGCTATCCTCACAGATTCCTGGAAGTTGAACAGATCTCTGATGAGTCCTCTCTTTAGAACTAAACTGATTCCCCCAGGACCTACCAACTTGAGGAATTTTCTGGGAAGCACTTAGGTACCTGTACGGACTTGTCAACAACTGCCATACGTAAGAGACTCTAATTCCAGCTTTACTGTGCATGACCAGAAAGCTTGAAATTGAAATCTTGATGCCATCCCATAGTTAACCGAGATTTTCCAGGTTTATATATAGTTCAGAATTCAAAGTTCTGAAAATCTAAGAGCTTTCACAACTCTGCGCTTTTGCTTCTCCTGAGACGCTTGTCCTGGAATGCTGGTTTCCATTTTGTTCCCTAATAAAAATCTTGTTCATTCTTCAAAGCCCACTTCAAATAGGGTCTTCCCCACCCCACCTCCAAATCTCCCTCTCTCTCTCACATACACACACCCCATTGTATTTTTCCACACTTCATTTTAGCAGGTAACTCTGTGCCCAATAGAAAATTTACTCACTTGGCGGGGCGCGGTAGCTCACGCCTGTAATCTCAGCACTTTGGGAGGCCGAGGCGGGCGGATCACCAGGTCAGGAGATCGAGACCATCCTGGCTAACACGGTGAAACCCCGTCTCTACTAAAAATACAAAAAATTAGCCGGGCGTGGTGGCGGGCGCCGGTAGGCCCAGCTACCTGGAGGCTGAAACAGGAGAATGGCGTGAACCCAGGATGCAGAGCTTGCAGTGAGCCGAGATGGCGCCACTCCACTCCAGCCTGGGCGACAGAGCGAGACTCTGTCTAAAAAAAAAAAAAAAAAAAAAAAAAAAGGAAAACTTACTCACAGTATCTGTCTCCTTCATTCCCCAAGTACGGTGAGAAGAATGATGATGATGATAATATTAATAACACGGATTTGGATAATTGGCTGACTGCTTTTGTGTATTATGTTATTGACTCATCGCAACTTTATATAGTAAATACTGTAATACTTTTATTCCCATTTTACAGTTGAGAAAATTGGGATTTGGGGGGTGTTAAGAGGTGAGATTTCTGTCTTGGTCATTTTTCATTTTCCATAGTGACTAGTGTAGTACAAGCCTACTGGCTCTGAATATTTGCAGATTGATTCCTTGACCCTAGCTGTTGACTTTTTTTTTTTTTTTTTTTTTTTTAGTAGTCTTTCACATTCTCTTTCCTCCTCTTGTCTTGATGCATATTTTGGTTTTGTTATATTTTTTCGACGTTCTCTCTGAGCTGACGAGTAAACGGTAGCAAGTCTGGTGAATAAACAGAACCTACCGTGCCAAAATTAGGGAATTTTTTTTCCTATGGACAATGAATAATAGCTCAGATGAGAAGGAAAGAAACTGGTAGCATTCGAAGAAGAGTTCTTTTTCTCTAATCCAATTAGCTTTATGTGGAAAATGAAAGAAAAGAAAAGAAAAGAAAAAAAGAGGCATTAATCAAGATAAGTTAAGCCAGACAGTTCCTTTCACAGGGGTCCCAACCAGACTGTTTTCTGAAAGCAGAGGCATAAAAACTAATGAAGCAAGAGATTCTTGCTGCACATAGAGGAGACAACGTGTGATATCACGAAAAGAGGGTGCTTTTCAAGAACTGATCACCAGCAGGCCTAGAGGGTTGAATTCCTATGAAACATTAGATTAAAAGGCTTCCGTATATACAGGAATTTTACAAACCATATTACTTTTATGTCTATGTCAAAATAAGATTTCTTAGTCAAATTGATCTTATGTATGTGTCAAAGTTTATTAATTCAAGGACAGAACTGACAAGATGACAAAAGAGTGTCCCATCTCAAGGAAGTTTTGGAAACTGTGAATATATGGAGCCAGGGAAGAGAAGAGAAAGTGCAATTAATTAGAAAAAGTCCTGCTTCATTTAACTGGATCATAACAACATCACATCCTGGCTGGAAGCGGTGGCTCACGCCTGTAATCCCAGCACTTCGGGAGGCTGAGGCGGGTGGGTCTCTTGAGATCAGGAGTTCGAGACCAGCCTGGCCAACATGGTGAAACCGCGTCTCTACTAAAAATACAAAAATTAACCTGGAGTGGTGGCACGTGCCTTTAATCCCAGCTACTCGGGAGGCCGAGACAGGAGAATTGTTTGAACCCGGGAAACGGAGGTTGCAGTGAGCTGAGATCGGGCCACTGCACTCCAGCCTGGGCGACAAAGAGAGACTCCATTTCAAAAAACAAACAAAAAATCACATATTCCATTTGTTGGTGAAATAAGATCAGGAGCACCACGATCTTTGTTTGGAAACTTGTAGAGAAGTCATACGTGCCCCAAACTCTTAGCAGATATAAGAAAGAAATAATAAGCAATAGCTGCTCTTTAGACAGACCAAGAAACAAAGATTCATGCCCCGATATTGTCAGACAGGAACCAGTTAGCACAGGGTCACCAAACCTTGTCAGGAGAGAAACAAAAAGTCTGCTTTTTCTCCAGTAGCTCTCGGTAAATTTACCAAATGTGCATTCAGAGATGGTGCTGAATTCATTGTTTGCCTGTTTCTCAGTTTTGTGACAGCAGGTTTTAATTTCATGTTTATGACCTTCTCCTATCCTCTCTTAGGAAAAAAACATAATTTGTACCTTCATAGGGGAAAAAAGGTTGAAGCGCTGGAGAGATGAAGCAGTCCTGAAACTGCTTTGGCCCAGAATATTAAATTACTGTGTAGGTATTTCTAGGGCTATCCCCTAGCGCCCAGTTGGAGCAGCGTGAAACTTACAGAGAAATCCGAGGAAGATAGAGTAGGTGTCTAAACCACCGAGGCTCTAGCAGCTTCAGAAGCTTGAACACAGCGATCAAATCTCCCAGAAATGACTTCGCCATTTCTTCTCTGTCATCTTCATAACTGTCTTTTCAAAAGGTTATGCTAATCTCAACTAACTCCTAATGGATTGTCTCCGGAATTTCCCGCTTACTGAATCACCCAATTGAGTTAAAAATGTTAAAGCGCTTACTTAGAACAATGCCGGACACTCGGTCTACGCTAGATTAAGTATTCATTAATAAATGTTTTAAAATAATTGAAAATTACATTGCTTGTCATTTTGTACCTGGAATACTAAAACAGGAACAGGGTTTCTATGCAGAAAATGCCTCCTATGAAAATTGAAAGTTAACTTATCCACAATTTGCTGTTTACTCAGAGATTTCGTTCCTGGATGAAAGAATTTGGAGGTTAAAACAGAAAAACCTCATTCCCTGACCGGGAATCGAACCCGGGCCGCGGCGGTGAGAGCGCCGAATCCTAACCACTAGACCACCAGGGAAGCTGAAGTAGGTTTATTAAAACATATTTATGAAGCGAGAACTCAACACATACGCACACAGTTGACTTCTACTTTTCCGACGAGTTAGTGCACGGTCATGCTCTCGTATTCACTGACCTCCTGTTTTGCACCAACCAATAAAATCTGGACGGCAGAGGGCGTGGCAATGCCATAAGAGTAATTTGGGAAGTTCGTAACTGGATGATGGAACGTGCTCTGTTTCGATGTGTGCATTCAACCGAGAATAAATTGTAGCATCAATTTGTAATTGTCTTCTTGCTTTTCTTTGCATAAAGTGGTGAGCCATTTGAAGAACGAAATAATTTTTTAATTTGTCTTTGGTTCCTTCGGAGTACCTGTCATTGTGGGTTTTTTTTTTAATAAATACCTAATAGTAAATAAAAAACATAAGTAATAAATTCATTAAGCCTTATTTTTAAGTGGCGTGGGCGGAGCCGAAATAGCTCAGTTGGGAGAGCGTTAGACTGAAGATCTAAAGGTCCCTGGTTCGATCCCGGGTTTCGGCATGAGAGCGCTCGGTTTTTTGTGCCCACGGCAATACAAATATGGAATTTTCCTTCTACAATACAGAAACACTCCTTAGAACCTAAAATGGGGTCATATTTTTCTCAAATTCATAAAGGAAATCGCAAGAACACTGTGGGATACGTTTATTTCTGTAGCAGAACTCTAGGTATGGGTTTCAACATCTCACTAGATAAAAGAAGAAAAGGCAAACGTGCTGAAAGAAGTTTAATCTTGAGCAATACTAATTACATTTTATTTGCGACCTCTGTTCCCTCAATAAATATTTATTAAGTGAATTGTTAGTGTTATGCGCGCGTCTAACTGAAGAGACAACCTGAACAGGCTAAGTGTGAGCAACAAGCTGTTTATTCACTCTGGTCCGAGCGGGCTGAGTCCGAAAAGGGAGTCCCACCACCGGAGGGTGGTGGGATTGCAGCTAGTTTTATAGGTTAGGAGTAAGCAGTGGAAAGATACAATAAGGGCCCGTTTATTGCGGGCAAGGGAAGAATGTCACAAGGTACATTATCACAAGGTGGGAGGGGTCACAGAGCACAGTGTCACGAAGTTGATTGATCAGTTAGGGTAGAGCATGTTACAATGGTAGAAGGTCGCAAGGTTGGCTAATCAGCTAAGACAGGAGCTGTTTTTCTTCTTTTGTGGTTTTCCTGTTGTCCCAGACTTTCTGGCTCCAGGAGACCTTCTGGATGTGTACGTGTGGGTCACAGGGGTCACAATGCCTTGATCATAGCACAGCCTGCTCCGAGGAAAAGGATAGAGAGAGGCACGGCC
>NT_187546.1:0-131892 GCF_000001405.40 Homo sapiens | reverse complement strand
AAGCTTGTCTATAGCAATTACATTTATCTACAGTCTTAATCGTTAAACTTAACCCTAGGGGAAATTTCCCATTCTCTGGGGAAGGGAAATGTCATTGTCACCATATTTATCTCCTTGGTGGAAGCTGACACTTCTTACTTGCCCCGAGTGTTAGAAAAGGGCACATGTGGACAGAGGCTGGGGACAAGTCTGTGGGTTCCTTTGTCAGCAGACCAGGCTCAGCCAAGCCTTGTGGAAGAGCTTTACTCCCTCTGGCCATGCTGGAGAAGCCTGCTCCCTGTCCCTGCACCTCTTGTCATTGGAGTAGGGTGTCACCACCTATGTCAAGTGTGGGCTCTGATGTGGTTCCTACCCCTTCTCAGGTCTGGTTCCAGAACCGCAGAGCTAAGCAACGGAAGCAAGAGCGCTCACTGCTTCAGCCTCTGGCCCATCTGTCTCCTGCCGCCTTTTCCAGCTTCTTGCCAGAGTCCACTGCTTGCCCCTATTCTTACGCAGCACCACCACCACCAGTGACCTGCTTCCCTCACCCCTACAGCCATGCCCTCCCTTCCCAGCCCTCCACAGGAGGCGCCTTTGCTTTGTCACACCAGTCTGAGGACTGGTACCCTACCTTGCACCCAGCCCCTGCCGGCCATCTGCCCTGCCCCCCACCCCCTCCCATGCTCCCCCTCAGCCTTGAGCCATCCAAGTCCTGGAACTGAGGTCAAACAAGTACCACCAAGGTGATCCCCAGCCTGCGGCCCTCGTGAAAAGACAAGAAAATGGGGTGGCTTCCTTTCCATCTATGGGTGAAGCAGATGCATGGTGAGGGTCAGCTCAGCGATTAGAAATTTAAAAATGGGAGATCATGGTGAATTCTCACTGGGGTGATTAGTGGAGGAAGTCTGGGGAGGTGAGCTACTGGAAGAGACAGGGCAAGATGCCTCGGTGGAGCTGCCTGCTGAAGGGTGATATTGATGAAGACAGTTGCTGGTGAGTGGAGATGATTGAAGGGCTAGGAGGTGAGGGCCTTCATTAATTGAGATCACGATTGAAGAAGATCCCAGCTCTTTCTGGCTGATTTCAGTAAGGCTTCTGACTTAAGAGTCTACCTATACATCCCTTCCCCATTGCCCACCCCGCCATCTCAATCAGTCACTGACTTTTGTTTATTCTGTCCTAGAAATACCTTTTTTTTTTTTTTTTTTTTTTTTTTTGAGACAGAGTCTTGCTCTGTCGCCCAGGCTGGAGTCCAGTGGCACAATCTCGACTCACTGCAAGCTCCACCTCCTGGGTTCACGCCATTCTCCCGCCTCAGCCTCCCGAGTAGCTGGGACTACAGGTGCCCGCCACCACGCCCGGCTAATTTTGTTTTTGTATTTTTAGTAGAGACGGAGTTTCACCATGTTAGCCAGGATGGTCTCAATCTCCTGACCTCGTGATCTGCCCGCCTCGGCCTCCCAAAGTGCTGGGATTACAGGTGTGAGCCACTGAGCCCAGCCGAAATATCTCTTCAGAGTGTCCCCTCCTTTCCATTCCAGCAGACACTTGGCTTTTTCTGACCCCGTATTTTCTGACTTATTGTCGCATAGGTTCCCTTAACTCTAGTCTATCCCACTTCCAACAAACCTGTGCAAATCTCAACATCAAGGAATGCTCTCCAATGTCTTATAAAAAATACATCAATCAGATTTGATTAGTTTTGCCTGTAGAAGTCTTCAACATCTGCCTTCAACTTTTAAATCAGCGGCACATTTTAACATATGTGGTTTCTGATAGAGAAGAAACCATTTGATTTAGGGCAAACTTTTCTAAGACGAAACCGTCTGAGGCTGATGAGGGGTCATTCCCAGGAAGGGACCTGCCTCGTCTGGGAAACGCCTTGGTCTGAACCCTCTCAAAAGAAACAGCATGGAGCCTAGTTCATGGTACAATTTTTATGCGATATTGCTTATTATGCACTTATTTTACTCACAATTCACTTATTTATATGTATGCTTACCTCTCTTATTGGAGGGTTCATAGAAAACTTTTTTAAATTAAATTTTTTTTCTTTTTTGAGACGGAGTTTTGCTCTTGTTGCCCAAGCTGGAATGCAATGGAGTGATCTCGGCTCACTGCAACCTCCGCCTCCCGCGTTCAAACAATTCTCCTGCCTAAGCCTCCCGAGTAGCTGGGATTACAGGGTGTGCCACCGTGCCCGGCTAATTTTTTGTATTTTTAGTAGAGACGGGGTTTCACCATGTTGGCCAGGTTGGTCTTGAACTCCTGACCTCGAATGATCCACCTGCCTCAGCCTCCCAAAGTGCTGGGATTACAGGTGTGAGCCACTGCGCCAGGCCTGATTTTTTTAATATTTAATTTTTATTTTTTCATGTGCCTCTAGATATGATTTTTATTCTTGTTTTTTTTCCCCTCCCTCTTTCATCTCTCTCCTCTCTTCCAACTCCTCTTCCCTGTCCCATCCCTGCTACCCATTTAGTGGGAAGGAAGTTTCCCTGTGCCTGCAGCCCTGCTCCCCGACCCTCAGCAGGGTTACCTCCTGCAGAAGCAGGGCAAGGGGTAGGGACAAGGGACGGGGAGGCAGCTCGATGAAGTGAAGAATGAAGCCCCTGGAGGGAGGTGGATGGTGATGGCAGCAGTGGTGGCTGTCAGCCGGCATTCTCGTGCTCACAGCACTTCACAGAAGAATTTTTTTTTTTTTTTCTTGGGACTGAGTCTCACTCTTGTCACCCAGGCTGGAGTGCAATGGCGTGATCTCAGCTCACTGCAACCTCCACTTCCTGGGTTCAAGCGATTCTCCAACCTCAGCCAACTGAGTAGCTGGGATTACAGGCATGTACCACCACGCCCACATAATTTTTTTTTTTTTTTTTGAGATGGAGTCTCCCTCTTTCGCCCAGGCTGGAGTGCAGTGGTGTGATCTCGGCTCACAGCAACCTCTGCCTCCCGGGTTCAAAGTGATTCTCCTGTCTCAGCCTCCCGAGTAGCTGGGACTACAGGCGCCCGCCACCAAAGCCGGCTAATTTTTGTATTTTCAGTAGAGATGGGCTTTCACCATATTGATCAGGCCAGTCTCGAACTCCTGACCTCAGGTGATCCGCCTGCCTCGGCCTCCCAAAGTGCTGGGATTACAGGTGTGAGCCACCACACCCAGCCTCACCTAATTTTTGTATTTTTAGGAGAGCTGGGGTTTCACCATGTTGTCCAGGCTGGTCTCAAACTCCTGATCTCAGGTGATCCACCTGCCTCGGCCTCCCAAAGTGATGGGATTACAGGCATGAGCCACCACACCCGTCCCATAGAATAATCTTTAAACGGGCCTTTAGTGATGGATACTCAAGTTGTGAGTAGTTTTTTATATATATTATTAAAAAGTCTGGAATCACAACCCCTGTATTACACAATTGCACTCCTACCTAATTATCTCCTTGAGCCAGACTGCCTTCTAGAAAAATTACACTGGTTTGAATTCCACCAAAAGAACCTGAGTATTGGTTTCAGCACCTCCTTGTTAACCTGTACCATTTTTGACAATTTGTTAACTGAGAGTGATGTCTTCTTGTTTGCTTATTTTAAAATGTTCATTAATTGCTAGTGAGAGTTAAAAGTTTCATGTTTATTGGCAATTTACATTTTTCTTTTCTGCATTGCCTCTGTGTTGTGTATTTGTATATTGATATAGTCATCTTTTATTAGCGTCTGAGAGCTTTGTGGATTAGGGATATGAATTCCTATTCATACATGTTACAACCAATTTTTTTTTTTTTTGAGACATAGTCTCACTTTGTCATCCAGGCTGCAGTCCAGTGGCACTATCTCGGTTCACTGCAACCTCTGCCTTCCGGGTTCAAGCGATTCTCCTGCCTCAGTCTCCCAAGTAGCTGAGGCTACAGATGCACGCTGCCATGCCCGACTAATTTTTGTGTTTTTAGTAGAGATGGGGTTTTACTATGTGGGCCAGGCTGGTCTGGAACTTGTGAGCTCAAGCAATCCACTGGCCTCGGCCTCCCAAAGTGTTGGGACTACAGGCATGAGCCACCACGCCTGGCCACACATTGCAACTATTTTTTAAAGTTGGTTATTTGTCTTTTAGCCTTTCGCAGTGAAGTTTTCCTGAGAGAATTAACACGAATTTCCGACACCTGTTGTATGTAAGGCATTAACTTCTGTCTGAAACATCTAGAATGACACCAGTTTTGTAGAACTGGTAGATGTTTTAGAAATTAGTCACTCAGTTCATTTTCTGTGTTGTGTGGTTCAGATGAAGAGCCCCGGGTGAGAAATCTGTTTTTAGTGGTTTGATCTATGTTTTCTTTATTATTTGGATCAAAAGGCTACAACTTGAATCACCTGAAATTTATTTTGCTATGTGCAGCAAAATAGTCATGCAATTTCCCTCAATCAGCTAATTAGTTATTCCATTGTTATTTACTTAATCGTCAAACTTCACCCTATTGATTTGTAAAATCATAATTTTTCATATACTGAGTTCTCATATATATATACAGATGTGTATATATATACAGATATATATATATATATACAGATGTGTATATATATATATACCGATGTGTATATATATATATATGGGACAGCTGTGGACTCCTCATTCTTTTTCATCAATCAGTTTCTCTATTCCAGTTCCAGCACTACAGTCTTTTAATGATTGAAATGTAAGAATTATCAATACCTTTAAAATATTTAATTTTCTTATCCAAACACAAGGTGTGTCTTGTCGTTTCTTCCAGACTTCTGTTATGTCCTTCAGGAATTTAAAAAAAACATTTTTTTTTTTTTTTTGAGACCGAGTCTTGGTCTGTTGCCCAGGCTGGAGTGCAATGGTGAGATCTCGGCTCACTGCAACCTCCGCCTCCCAGGTTCAAGCAATTCTCTTAGCCTCCAGAGTAGCTGGCACTACAGGTGCATGCTACCATACCCAGCTAATTTTTGTATTTTTTTTTTTTTTTTTTTTTTTAGAAGAGATGGGTTTCACCATGTTGGCCAGTCTGGTCTCGAACTCCTGTTCTCAAATGATCTACCTGCCTTAGCCTCCCAAAGTGCTGCAATTACAGGCATGAGCCACTGCGCCTGATCAGAATTTTTATTTAAAAAACAACTTCCATATATCATACCCTTTATATAAAGTGTTTAAATGTGCAAAATAAACATTATGTAAAGGTTTAAAAATGATTATATGTTTACTTTTGCATGGCGTATGTTAGAGCGCTGTTTTGTAGTGGGCAGGCCTGTGCAAACCCACTCCAAAGTCCAAGGAAGCTGAGAGGCCAAAGGCTGAAAAATTCAGTTTCTTAAAAAGAAACATTGAGGCCAGGCACTGTGGCTCACACCTGTCATCCCAACACTTTGGGAGGCCGAGGTAGGCAGATCACAAGGTCAGGAGTTCGAGACCAGCCTGAGCAACATAATGAAACCCCATCTCTACCAAAAATACAAAAATTAGCCAGGCATGCTGGCTCACGCCTGTAATCCCAGCTACTCAGGAGGCTGAGGCAGGAGAATCGCTTGAATCTGGGAGGCAGAGGTTGCAGTGAGCCGAGATCGTACCACTGTACTCCAGCCTGGGTGACAGAGCAAGACTCCATCTCAAAAAACAAAACAAAACAAAACAATTAAAAACATTGAACAGGGCCTGAGAGCAGAAGCCACATCCATGTCCTGAGCTGTGGCCAGAGAAGATGGTGTCTACCCCCTCAAGACCCAGGGATTCTATACTAGAGGGGAGGGGCACCCGTGCTTCAGAGGGAATGGGTACGACTTTGTCCTAAGTGCCGATTTACGGGGAATACCTCTTTACCTACCCTTACACAAGGAACGATCTTGGATCCCAGAACGGGGTTAATCAGAATTCCACTTGGTGGCTTAGCATCCAAAATAGAATGACTAGCCTCTCATCCGAGATGGAATTCCTTTAGCCTCCACCAGTGCATACACAGGAAGTAAACTCGGAAGACAGGCACACAAATGACAGCATGTCTTAGAAGTGGAAAGCACAGTGTAACACAGGATCTGAACCGAGGGGTACTCAGTGCTATCTGGGTGGCTTTGTGTTTGTTATATAGCCCAGGCTAATGGCTTTTTCCTTTTTAAAATTGAAAATGGGATCCTGCCAGGTGCGGGTGGCTCACGCCTGTAATCCCAGCGCTTTGCGAGGCGGAGGCAGGCAGATCATGAGATCAGGAGCTTGAGACCCTGGCCAACACGGTGAAACCCCGTGTCTACTAAAAATACTGGGCGTGGTGGCGCACACCTGTAGTCCCAGCTACTCGGGAGGCTGAGGCAGGAGAATCACTTGAACCCAGGAGGTGGAGGTTGCAGTGAGCTGAGATCTCACCGCTGCACTCCAGCCTGGCGACAGAGCGAGACTCCATCTTAAAAAATAAAAACAAAAATGGGATCCTGCCATATATGTTATAATGTCCTTTTAAAACTAACAACCTATGGACATCTTGCGAGTGGCTCATACAGATTTTATTGTTTTCATTGCTAACTGGCAGTTCATTGTTTGGTGTTTTGTTTTGTGCCTCTGCAGTTATATTGCTAAAGGATTTTTTTTTTATTAAAGGTAAAATCATGACTCAGAGATGCAAAATAATTGTGTACTAAATATCTTAATTCATTATTGAGGCAATAATGAAGATGTTTAAACCAAGGACAATCCAAAGAACAGACACATTTATAGATGAATAGCAAAGTGAACGTGTAAATGGACACACAGCTGGCCTCTTCCACAGTTGGGGAGCGTAGTCAACCGAATCTCCACGGAACAGAATTCACGTACCTGTCTAGGGGCCGGGCTATTTTTGCATTGCAATCAGCTACAATGTTGTAAAATAGCCCAAAAGCCCGGAAGGCCTCAGAGACCCGATAGAATCAAAACCGGAAAGGAGGGCCCTCATGCCGGTTTCCATCAAAACACTTTCCCCTACAGTTTCCTCTTATCCAGGTGCTTTTGTTTTTGTGGGATAGCTGTCCCAAGTTAGGATTGCTGTGTTAAACGTTATGTTTATTTAAAATGGTAAGAGATACTGCCTGAGTAGCTTGCCAAAAAGTGTAGTTTAGGATGTTGTCTCATCGAATAATAATAGTTAATAATAAAGCCTAGAAAAATGCCCCATAATATTTCTTCAACGATTTGACTAAAAGTAAAGCAAAACAAAAAACCTATAATAAATCCAGAACCAATTTTGTGTATACCGAAAACCAGAGGATTGAGTTTCTTCTAGATCGACAACTATACCAGCACTATTTATTAAATAAACTAACATTCTCACATTGAATCGAATCGATCCCTTTATCAATTCATTAAATTTCCATAGGTGTCACAATCTCTTCCGGGCACTCTGTTTCGGAGCTGGTTCTCCCAGCAGCTTTTCAGGCTCACGCCGGCGGTGGCGCAGACCTAGGGTCTCCCACACTCGCCGTGCCCACACTCGCCGTGCCCACACTCGCCCTGCCCACACTCGCCCTGCCCACACTCGCCCTGCCCACACTCGCCCCTGAGCTGGCCTGGAAAGCGCAAAAGGTGGGAAGTCAAGTTCTCTGCGCCCTTCCCTTCTACATTCGCTAGTCCTCGCCCACCTCCTTTCCTGCGGCCCCGACCCTCTGACGCCCCTGCGGGAGGCGTGCGCCCTAGACAGCCCTTCTCGCCGCCCGCCCGCCCGCCAGAGTTCTGGCGCCTGCGGTGCCCTGGACTGAACAGGCTGCAGGCTTTGGGCCTGAACACCGCAGACTGGAGCCCCAGCAACCCAGCCTGGGCGACAGCGGAGTGCGCACCCGATGGACTCCCCTGTCTTCCCTTCTCGGTAGAGGAGATGCTCTTTTCTGTTGTTTTGAGACGGAGTCTCGCTCTGTCCCCCAGGCTGGAGTGCAGGGGCGCGATCTGGGCTCACTGCAAGCTCCGCCTCCCGGGTTCACGCCATTCTCCTGCCTCAGCCTCCGGAGTAGCTGGGACTACAGGCGCCCGCCACCGCGCCCGGCTAATTTGTTGTATTTTCAGTAGAAACTGAGTTTCACCGTGTTAGCCAGGATGGTCTCGATCTCCTGACCTCGTGATCCGCCCGCCTCGGCCTCCCAAAGTGTTGGGACTACAGGCGTGAGCCACCGCGCTCCGCCGAGGAGATACTCTAGAAGCTTAAAACTGGCAGAGTTGGAAGTTGCCCCGTTTACGATTAAAAAAATAAAACGAGTGTCTTTCCAGCAGCTTCACCCTCGCTCCATCCCATTCCTGCCAAGGGGAGAATGCAGCCCCGTTGAAGCTGAAGTCATGAATTCGACTTTGTGCTGGGAAATCGCAATCCCTGGTCTCTCAGGAAGGGCCCTTCCTTCCCAGCAGGATCCAACTTGGAGTATAGAAAAGGAAGGACTTGGAGCTCGAAGTGGGTGTGCGGGGCGGGAGCTCTGAGTGGCTCGGCCGGGCGCAGAGCTCCAGGGGATGCAGCGATCTGGGCGCCCCTCACCACTGAAGACCCCTGGGCCGGGGCGCCGAGACCAGGCGGGGAGGCGCGGTCCCCGGGCGCGCCCCTGCGAGCGGAAACCCTCTAATCTTGCTCGGGAGCCGCAGCGGTCGCGTTGCCAGACGCAAGTTTAACGAGGACAAAGCCGAGCCTTTAAAAGGGCAGATTCTGTGCGAGATCTCGCCTGCCTGGAACGTTCCGTCGAGGGTCTGCTGGAACCCGCGGGGCCCCTCCTGCACCCCCGGGGACTCCGGGCCGACTTTACCCCCTCACCTTCACGGAGCCGAGGGCAGGGCCTTGCTGTGCGCTCCAGGCACTTCTGGATGGCCGGACTCTGGCCCATCTCCGCGCCGTCGGCCCAGCGAAAATTGCACCTGGCGGCCCCACGGGATGCAAAGGGACCTGCTCCGTCGTGGGACGAGCTCTCTTGGGTCGGAACCAACCCGGCTCAACCCGGCCGGCGCCTCCTGGGTCCCCGTGGAGCTGCTTCCCCAACGCGCCACGCCTGACGTCCGGGTCTCCACAAGAGTCCTTCCCAGTCCAGCTTTGGTTTTTCTTCCAGAAACGGGCGCCTGGCTCCCAAGATCGGAGAGGACAAGCGAAAAGCCCGGCCCACTGCCTGTCCTGCGTCTCTACCCAGCTCGGCTCCCTCTGGTACCAGGAGAGGGCTCTCCCAGCTGGAGAGTGGACGCCACTTGCCAGTCCTGGAGCGGTCTACACCCCCCACCTCCGCAAATGGTGCCCCCACTTGGCTTCCTGGGGCCTAAGGCTCGGCCTGCCCTTGGCAAGATGGAATCCGGGAATAGCAGGATGGGTGCCATTCGGTCAGGGAATCCCAGTACTGGGACCCTGGGCTAGAAGTGGGAGAAGGGGCTGCGACTCCGGGTGGCACATGCCCTGGACCCTGAGAACTACCCACTATGCTCCCGGAACTACTCGCCCCGCTCCTCCAGAGAGGCGCTACTGCAGGAGGCCCACGGCTCTCCAAGACTGGCCTCACAGCAGGGGCTCTGCCTGCTCTAAGACTGTGCTGTGTGGGCATTACAATGGCTTTTTCCAGGTTTTATTGAAATTATCTGAACCTCTCCCCCGAAATTGGAGCACGCACACTCTCTCCTATTAGCTGGAAGAAGAAGCTGAACTAAAGAGGCTCTCTAAGACTCCTCTTTTGAATGTGGGCAAAATTAGCCTGGAAGTCTTCCAAGTTCCCACCCCACCAAGATCACCCCTCCCTCCAGCCTGCCCCTCAATTCACCCCCTCACAACCAGCATCTGGATGCCCAGGGAGCGCCTTACTGCCGTAATGGCACCCTACAAGCAGCCCAAGGTGGAGGAGGGGTAGGAGTCAGTTGCACAGAGTGGCCATTGCCCAGGTATGTGGATGTCGGGGAGGTTGGGAAGAGAATGACTGTGTGTTTGGGGGGGTCATCAGTATCTGTACATGGCTAGCAAGCTATATGGCTGAAGGCTTTGGGGCTTAGGGACCAATCAAATTTGGTTGCAGGACTCCTGAGTCACCTGAGCCCTGGCGTCCTTGTTCCTCTGAATGGGACATAGGTAGTCACTGTATTTTGTCTAGTAGACAGGTTACCTATGGGAGAATCCAGCATTTTCTACAGTGTGATGGGCCCATGTTGCCCCAGGGAAAGGAGGACACAAGGCACGCCAAGAACCAGGGCCTGAGGCCTAAGTGCTGGCAAGGCGAAAGGGGTTGGGGTGCTGACAGCCAGCTCCTGACCACACCGGCTCTCCAGTTGCAGGGAAGGGATAGGTGCCCCAGGGTGAAGGAAGTCAGGTCACCTGGCCTATCTCCAGAAGACAAAACTGACCCTGGGTGAAACCACCTACCTGAGCAGCAGTGGACGAACTGTTCAGACCCCAAGACCACCTTCCCTCCACTGGTATAACCTCTTCTGCTTTTCTGTCGGACTCCTCAGATAGCACAACTGGAATTCTGATTCTTACAGAATCCTGCAAATATTTATCAGGCACCTACCGAGTGCCCAGCAGGGAGCCAGAAGCTGGAGATTTGTCTTGGACCCAAGAAGTTCCTGCTGGACACTGGGACATACCAGGACAGGATCATGTGAGCCCAGGCCAGGTTTCTAGAGGGGATCCTCTCCCTCTCTCCCATGTCGGAGACTTAGCTCCACTCTGCGGAGTTCCTCTTCTGAGCACACCTGCAGGCGCTGCGTTTTGTACACTGGAGGGGGTTGGAGGGGAAAGGAATGGGAGGGTCAGAGCAGCCCTGGCCTGGGGCCCCTGCGGAAGCCTTTGGTCCTGAAAGCCGTGACTGGACACAGGACCTCCTTCTACACACTGATGGGCAGGGGACTTCCCTTGTGTGCTGACTTTCCACAGCCACCACTATGCAGATCCAACTGTTTCCTGCTTCCTGAGACATTGTCCCAGCTAAGCTAAGTGTCCCCAGCAGCCTTGCCGTCCCAGATCCGGGTGGTGGGCAGCAGCAGTGAACCCAAAGGGGAACCCTCTTGGCCGCAGCACCTCCGTGTCGCCAGGGCGGGGCCCTGGGTGCTGGCAGCTGTCCCGCCTCTGCAAAACCTCAGGTCTGTGGCGCCTCCTGGCTGCTGCTTCCTTGGAGGCCATGCAAAATGTCCCAGGCACTCCGTCCTGCCCTCTGGGGACCACGTTGGAGGTGAGGGGTCAGATCCCAGGGGAGGTCCCGTGCCCTGGGGGTGGGAGGGAGAGTGGTGTTGCAGGCAGGAGAGACGGTGTGGTGGGCAGAAGACTAGACTGCTGAGCCCTGGTGTGGCAGCAGCTGTGCGTCTCCCTGGATGCCTGAACCCCTTGCCCATTTGAGACGGGCTGTGAGGGTCGGGTGGTTCAGGGAGGGAAGGATGGCAGGGCCGCTGCTCCTACCCCCACCCCCCCAACCTCTCTGGGCTCTGAAGCAACGTATCAAACTTCCCATTCCCCCGTCAGAGCCATCTATCCACCATCCATCCATCCATTCATTCGGCCATCCATCCACCATCCATGTGTCCACCATCCATCCTTTTATCCGTCCATTCAGCAAATATCCATCGAGCCCCTGCCCTGTGCCAATGTTGTTCTAGGCACAAGGGATACTTCAGCAAGCCATTCATTCTATTTGGGGGATAAACAATAACTAAACAAATAAATAAGAAGATAACAGTAGTGCCGTGCTGCAGTGAATAATGGATCCACATTGCCCCAGGACAGCACTGCCCACACCGTGATGTACAAAAAGCGATGCACAAGAGGGCCAGAGCCTGGCCCCACCTAGCAAGGGGTCCACCGAGCCCCTCCCTCATTATCCGCGGCTGTCCCCATGACACCCCCGCTACCCGCTGCACAGGCCAAGACCCGGGAGTTCCTATACTCCATTCCTCCTCACACACCTGCCGTGACCTCAGCGAGTTGTGGGCAGGTGAGGTCACTTCACACACCCGGTCTTCCCGCTTCTCTCCAGCCTTCCCACCATGCCCAGCCCATGCCGTCATCATGCCCACTCCCACCACAGCAAAGCCCACTAACATCCATCCGCTTCAACTTGTGCTTGCCACGGCAGCTGCCCATGTTTCTCAAGTGTGACCAGGTTGCACTGCTGTTGGGATTAAAACCTGCAGCCAAAAGAGAATCTGAAGTGGCCACCAGAGTCCATGAGGCCTGGTCCGACTGGGCGGCTAGCCACTCTGCCCCACTTCTCTCCACCCCTTGTTCTCCTCTCTAAGCCCCACCGCAGCCCTGCCTTTCACCCTCAGGGCTCTGCACTTGCATCCACCTGTGCTGTGAACACGCTCTGCCCAGTCCCGGCACGGCTGGCTCCCTACTCGTCAGAGACTCTGGCCTCCTCCTCTAAGACAGCCCGCCCCATCTCTCTCCCCCGCTCAGCCAGGAGAGCCACCCCCTTCCCAGTCTGGCTTCCACCAGCCTCTGAGTCTTGGCAAACCAGAAACTCCCCGCTGGCTGGGGAAACTGACTGTCTGATTGGCTGGGGGCGGACAGAGCCTGGCTAACCCTGACTAACAGTTGGAGGGCTACGTGAGAAAAAATGGCTCCAGTAAGTGCTTGGAAGCCTGTAGTTTGAGGCAGCAGCAAGCTGGGGACAGGCCAAGGCTGAGGGTGGGACAATGGGCATCAGGCCTCAAAGAACCTGGATCCTGTGCGATCTCGCTTTTCCTCGCCGCCATCTGGAGCCGGGGAGAAATGCGCTCCCACGCGCTCTGTGTGTCACACACACACACACACACACACACACACACACACACACAGAGGGAGAAATGCGCTCCCACGTGCTCTGTGTCTCACACACACACACACACACACACCCAGGGAGAAATGCGCTCCCACGTGCTCTGTGTCTCTCACACACACACACACACACACACACACACACAGGGAGAAATGCGCTCCCACGTGCTCTGTGTGTCACACACACACACACACACACACACCCAGGGAGAAATGCGCTCCCACGTGCTCTGTGTGTCTCACACACACACACACACACACACCCCCAGGGAGAAATGCGCTCCCACGTGCTCTGTGTGTCACACACACACACACACACACACACCCAGGGAGAAATGCACTCCCACGTGCTCTCTCACACACACACACACACACACACACACACACACACACCCAGGGAGAAATGAGCTCCCACGTGCTCTGTGTGTCTCTCACACACACACACACACACACACACCCAGGGAGAAATGCGCTCCCACGTGCTCTGTGTGTCACACACACACACACACACCCAGGGAGAAATGGGCTCCCACGTGCTCTGTGTCTCTGTCTTTCACACACACACACACACACACACACACACACACACACACACCCAGGGAGAAATGCGCTCCCACGTGCTCTGTCTCTCTCTCACACACACACACACACACACCCAGGGAGAAATGCGCTCCCACGCGCTCTGTCTCACACACACACACACACACACACACACACACCCAGGGGGAAATGCGCTCCCACGTGCTCTGTGTGTCACACACACACACACACACACCCAGGGAGAAATGCGCTCCCACGTGCTCTGTGTCACACACACACACACACACACACCCAGGGAGAAATGCGCTCCCACGCGCTCTGTGTCTCTCTCTCTCACACACACACACACACACACACACACACACACACCCAGGGAGAAATGCGCTCCCACGTGCTCTGTGTCTCTCACACACACACACACACACACATACACACCCAGGGAGAAATGCGCTCCCACGCGCTCTGTGTGTCTCTCACACACACACACACACACACACCCCCAGGGAGAAATGCGCTCCCACGTGCTCTGTGTTTCACACACACACACACACACACACACACACACACACCCAGGGAGAAATGAGCTCCCACGTGCTCTGTGTGTCACACACACACACACACACACACACCCAGGGAGAAATGCGCTCCCACGTGCTCTGTGTGTCACACACACACACACACACACACACCCAGGGAGAAATGCGCTCCCACGTGCTCTGTGTGTCACACACACACACACACACACACCCAGGGAGAAATGCGCTCCCACGTGCTCTGTGTCTCTCTCACACACACACACACACACACACACCCAGGGAGAAAGCTCCCACGTGCTCTGTGTGTCACACACACACACACACACACACCCAGGGAGAAATGCGCTCCCACGTGCTCTGTCACACACACACACACACACACACCCAGGGAGAAATGGGCTCCCACGTGCTCTGTGTCTCTGTCTTTCACACACACACACACACACACACACACACACACACACCCAGGGAGAAATGCGCTCCCACGTGCTCTGTGTGTCACACACACACACACACACACACCCAGGGAGAAATGCGCTCCCACGTGCTCTGTGTCACACACACACACACACACACACACGGAGAAATGCGCTCCCACGTGCTGTGTCTCACACACACACACACACACACACACCCAGGGAGAAATGCGCTCCCACGTGCTGTCTCTCACACACACACACACACACACACACCCAGGGAGAAATGAGCTCCCACGTGCTCTGTGTGTCACACACACACACACACACACACACACAGGGAGAAATGCGCTCCCACGTGCTGTCTCTCTCACACACACACACACACACCCAGGGAGAAATGCGCTCCCACGTGCTCTGTGTGTCTCACACACACACACACACACACCCAGGGAGAAATGGGCTCCCACGTGCTCTGTGTCTCTGTCTTTCACACACACACACACACACACACACACACCCAGGGAGAAATGAGCTCCCACGTGCTCTGTGTCTCTTTCTCACACACACACACACACACACCCAGGGAGAAATGGGCTCCCACGTGCTCTGTGTCTCTGTCTTTCACACACACACACACACACACACAGGGAGAAATGAGCTCCCACGTGCTCTGTGTCTCTTTCACACACACACACACACACACACACCCAGGGAGAAATGGGCTCCCACGTGCTCTGTGTCTCTGTCTTTCACACACACACACACACACACACACACACCCAGGGAGAAATGGGCTCCCACGTGCTCTGTGTCTCTTTCACACACACACACACACACACACACCCAGGGAGAAATGGGCTCCCACGTGCTCTGTGTCTTTCACACACACACACACACACACACCCAGGGAGAAATGAGCTCCCACGTGCTCTGTGTCTCTGTCTTTCACACACACACACACACACACACACACACACACCCAGGGAGAAATGAGCTCCCACGTGCTCTGTCTCTGTCTTTCACACACACACACACACACACACACACACACACACACACACACACCCAGGGAGAAATGAGCTCCCACGTGCTGTGTCTCTGTCTTTCACACACACACACACACACACACACACACACCCAGGGAGAAATGAGCTCCCACGTGCTCTGTCTCTTTCACACACACACACACACACACACACCCAGGGAGAAATGAGCTCCCACGTGCTCTGTCTCTTTCACACACACACACACACACACACACACACACACACACACACACGGCTGCAGGTGAGTTGTTTCTAGAACCAGAGCTTATATGAAGAGAAAAATAGAAGGGACAGAACAGTGTGTTCCCAGATCACACCTGCAGTTCCCACAGGCTGGGGTGGGGGTCTGGGGCCCGGCTCTGCTGGCTCAGTCACTTTGCTTCTCCTCAAGTTCCCTCTGTGGAACTGGGCGCTGTTTCCACCAAACCGTCTGCTCTCCAGTCCCACAGGGGCTGCTGTCAGTCACCCTACGGCCTCTCTGCCTAGGCTTTGAAACTGATTCATTGTTCTTTTGCTGTATTTTTCTTTGTAGGTTTCAGAATTCTCTGTTTATTTATGATAATTTGGGAAGGATCCTGGGAGAGTGAAAATAAATGAAGTGCGCAATCTGCCAAGTTTCACTGGAGGCTCCACTGATCCTTCCACCATGCTCAAATGCCTGCAGGAAATCTGGGGAATCATCTTTCCTACCCTAAGACCCTGGGACTTAGCACTGGCCCTGAGGCCCCTGACAGGCATAAACTAATCAGCAAATGTGCAGGAAAAATGCGGAGCTGCAAGATCAAAGTCAGATTCCCACTCTCCCTAAAGGCCTGGATTCCCCTGGAAACCCACATCCTCACTGCCTGGAAGGAGCGATGAGGACCCAGGGGAGTGGCTCTGGGCATCAACAGGTCCAGGCAGGAGGCGGTTCCCCATGTCCCATCTTTCCAGCACCGAAGGGAGCCTCTCAGGGGAGTCTTATCACCCCCCGCCCCACCATCACAGAGCAGCCTGCTCCTGGCCTGTATCCAAACACCCCTGGGGGCGGCCGCCCTGGGCGTGCTCCCCTTTCCCTGATGGCCGCTAGAACTCCGTGAGGAGAGGCTCGCCAGGGTCACCCAGACAGTCCCTGATCCCACATTGTCCCGACACATGAGGCTTCACCCCGGAGGAAATAGGAAAAGGGAGTGAATCCCATGGGCTCCCCTCACAAAAGGAAAGCCACGTGCTGTCACTTGGGCGCAAGATGGGCTATGAGGCTGGAGAAAGTCTCCCAGGGACGCCTCCTGGAGTCTTTTTTTTTTCTTTGCTACTGTGAATAGTGCTGCAATAAACATACCTGTGCCTGTGTCTTTATAACAACAATTTATTTTCCTTTGGGTATATACCCAGTAATGGGATTGCAGGGTGGAATGGTATTTCTGTATTTATATCTTTGAGAAATCACCACACTGTCTTCCACAATGGTTGAACTAATTTACACTCCTGCCAACGGTGTATAAGCATTCCTTTTTCTCCAAAACCTCGCCACCATCTGTTATTTTTTTATTTTTTAATAATAGCCATTCTGACTGATACGATATGGTATCTCATTGTGGTTTTGATTTGCATTTCTTTAATGATCAGTAATATCGAGCTTTTCTTTTCTTTTCTTTTTTTAAGACAGAGTCTCGCTCTGTTTCACCCAGGCTGGAGCGCAGTGGTGCCATCTTGGCTCACTGCAACCCCCGCCTCCCGGTTCAAGCAGTTCTCCTGCCTCACCCTCCCGAGTAGCTGGGATTACAGACATGCATCACCACACTTAGCTAATTTTTGTATTTTTAGTAGAGACGGGTTGGGGGGGCGGGTTTCACCATGTTCGCCAGGCTGGTCTTGAACTGCCGACCTCAGGTGATACACCTGCCTTGGCCTCCCAAAGTGCTGGGATTACAGGCGTGAGCCACCGCGCCTAGCCAAGCTTTTTTTCATATGCTGGTTGGCCTCAAGTTTGTCTTCTTTTGAAAAGTGTTTGCTCATGCCCTTTGCTCACTTTGGAATATTGTTGTTTTATGGCCGGGTGCGGTGGCTCAGGCCTGTAATCCCAGCACTTTGGGAGGCTGAGGCCAGATCACCTGAGGTCAGAAGTTCGAGACCATCCTGGCCAACATGGCAAAACCTTATTTCTACTAAAAAAATACAAAAAATTAATGGCCTGGTGTGGTGGTGGATTACAGGTGGGTGCCTGTAATCCCAGCTACTCAGGAGGCTGAGACAGGAGAATTGCTTGACCCCAGGAGGCAGAGGTTGCAGTGAGCCGAGATTGTGTGCCATAGCACTTCAGCCTGGGCAACAGAGCGATACTCTGTCTCAAAAATAAAAAATAAATAAAAAATAAAATAAAGTTGCTTGGTTTTTTTCTTGGAAATTTGCTTAAGTTTTTTTCTTTTTTTGAGATGGAGTCTTTCTCAGTCGCCCAGGCTGGAGTGCAGTGGTGCGATCTCAGCTCACTGCAAGCTCTGCCTGCCGGGTTCATGCCATTCTCCTGCCTCAGCCCCCCAAGTAGTTGGGACTACAGGCGCCCGCCACCATGCCCAGCTAATTTTTTTTTGTTTTTGTTTTTGTTTTTTTCAGTAGAGACGGGGTTTCACCATGTTAGCCAGGATGGTCTCCATCACCTGACCTCGTGATCCACCTGCCTCGGCCTCCCAAAGTACTGGGATTACAAGTGTGAGCCACTGCACCCAGCCTTAAGTTTCTTATAGATGCTGGATAGTAGACCTTTGTCACGTGTATAGTTTGCAAATATTTTCTCCTCTTCTGTAGGCTGTTTACTCTTGTTGATAGTTTCTTTTGCCATGCACAAGCTTTTTGGTTTAATTAGATCCCATTTGTCAATTTTTGCTTTTGTTGCAATTGTTTTTGGCGTCTTCATCACGATATCTTTGCCAGTTCCTATGTTCAAAATGGTATTACCTAGGTTGCCTTCCAGAGTTTTTATAGTTTTGGGTTTTCATTTAATTCTTTAATCCACCCTGAGTTGATTTTGTATATGGTGTAAGAAAGAGATCCAGTTTCAATCTTCTACATATGGCTAGCCCGTTATCTCAGCACCATTTATTGAATAGGAAGTCCTTTCTCCATTGCTTGTTTTTGTCAGCTTTGTTGAAGATCAGATGATCATAGGTATGTGGCCTTATTTCTAGATCCTCTATTCTGTTTCATTGGCCTATGTGTCTTTTTTTATACCAGTACCATGCTGTTTTGGTTACTATAGCCCTGTAGTGTAGTTTGAAGTTGGGTAGTGTGATGTTTCCAACTTTGTTCTTTTTGCTTAGAATTGTCTTGGCCATTTGGGATCCTTTTTGGTTCTATATAAACTTTGAAATAGTTTTTTATATTTCTGTGAAGAATATCATTAGTGGTTTGATAGGAATAGCATTGAATCTATAAATTGCTTTGGGCAATTTTTCTATCTATGAGTATGAAATGTTTTCCCATTTGTTTGTATCATCTCTAATTTCTTTGAGCAGTGTTGTATAATTCTCCTTGTAGAGATCTTTCACTTTCCTGGTTAGCTGTATTTCTAGGAGTGTGTGTGTGTGGTGATTGTGAATGGAATTGAGTTTTGATTTGGTTCCTGGTTTGGCTGTTGCTGGTGTATAAGAATGCTAGTGATTTTTTTTGTATGTTGATTTTGTATCCTGAAACTTTGCTGAAGTTGTTTATCAGCTTAAGAAGCTTTGGGGCCAAGAATATGGGGTTTTCCAGACGTAGAATCATGTTGTCTGCATCCTAATACCAAAACCTCGCAGAGACACAACAAAAAAGAAAACTTCAGGCCAATATCCTTGGTTAACATTGATGTAAAAATCCTCAACAAAATATTAGCACACCAAATCCAGCAGCATATCAAAAAGCTTGTCCACCATGATGAAGTAGGCTTCATCCTCAGGATGCAAGGCTGGTTCAACATATGCAAATCAATAAATGTGATTCATTGCATAAACAGAACTAAAGACAAAAACCACATGATCATATCAATAGATGCAGAAAAGGCTTTTGATAAAATTCAACATCCCTTCATATTAAAAACTCAATAAACTAGGTATTGCAGGAACATACCTCAAAATAACAAGAGCCATGGGCTGGGCACGGTGGCTCATGCCTGTAATCCCAGCACTCTGGGAGGCCGAAGCGGGCAGATCACCTGAGGTCAGGAGTTCGAGACCAGCCTGGCGAACATGGTAAAACCCCATTTCTACTAAAAATACAAAAAAAATTAGCCAGGATTGGTGGCGCGTGCCTGTAATCACAGCTACTAGGTAGGCTGAGGCAGGAGAATCACTTGCACCCATTAGGCGGAGGTTGCAGTAAGCCAAGATCGTGCCATTGCACTCTAGCTTGGGCAAGAAGAGTGGAACTCCATCTCAAAAAATAAATAAATAAATAACAAGAGCCATCTGTCACAAACCCACAGCCAACATCGTACTGAATGGACAAAAGGTGGAAGCATTCCCCTTGAAAACCAGCACAAGATAAGGATCACCTCTCTCACCACTCCTTTTCAACATCAGAAATCCTGGCCACAACAACCAGACAAGAGAAATGAATAAAGGGCATTCAAACAGGAAAAGAGGAGATCAGACACTTTTATAGGTAATGTGTTACATGCTTCGAATTTTCAGGTATAAGGTCTCACATTGCGGCACTACCCACAATAGCAAAGACTTGGAACCAACCCAAATGTCCAACAATGATAGACTGAATTAAGAAAATGTGGCATATATACACCATGGAATACTATGCAGCCATAAAAAAGGATGAGTTCATGTCCTTTGTAGGGACATGGATGAAGCTGGAAACCATCATTCTCAGCAAACTATCACAAGGACAAAACACCAAACACTGCATGTTCTCACTCATAGGTGGGAATTGAACAATGAGAACACTTGGACACAGTAAGGGGAACATCACACACCGGGGCCTGTTGTGGGGTGGGGGGAGGGGGGAGGGATAGCCTTAGGATATGCCTAATGTAAATGACGAGTTAATGGGTGCAGCACACCAACATGGCACATGTATACATATGTAACAAACCTGCACGTTGTGCACATGTATCCTAGAATTTAAAGTATAATAAAAATATATATATAAAATAAAATAAAAATAAATTTGACTGAACAATTGTTTATTCATAAAATATTTTGGAAAGGAACACAAAACATGGTAATAGTGGTTTTCTCTCGATTGGAGATAATTTTTTTTTTTATAACAGCGTCATTTATCCTGTTTTCTAAATAAGACTCCAACACCAGAAAAAAAAAAAAGAGGAAAAAACAGATTATAAGTTAAAACAAAAATCTATCTGTATAAGTCTTTACCTGTACAAGTCTGCACAAGTCAGTAAGTTCTGGTCTCTGTAGAGCCAGAACTTCAGAGAAGGTGATTTAATTGTCATCACAGCCCCCCAACTTGCTTTGGGGTTTGTACATCAAGAGACAACTTGAAGGGAATCACTTGAGACCAAAAGAATTACTTACAAAGAAAGATTTCCTGGAATGTGTAAGTTCTACTGATTGCCCATGGAGACGCTAACAGTTGCTCTAACCCCAAATTTTTTAAACATCTCAAGATGGCAACATGAGTATGGAAAACCCCAACACTCATCACCCAATGAATCATTTCTCCAATCATGGGAATGAGGGAAGGATGTAGGAAAGGCTGTTTCATCAGGACTCATTAGGGAGGGTGTCAGTGCAGAGGCAGCCACGGCAGAGCTTTCCTTGTCTTCAACCTGGGCCAAATGAAGCTCTGAGTGCTGAGGGCCTGACAACAAAGTTCTCCGCAGGTTTGGAATGGCCAATGTGCAATGATGGCATCAGCCACAAGAGTGAAACTTGAATCGTGCATGCGGGTCTATAGATCACTGATTACTGCACTATCAATCTCACCTCCCACCCACAAGAGATTACCCAGATAATCAGCCTGTGGCACATACTACTACTACCTACTTGGGAACAAGGGAGAGGAAGGAATTACAAATGAAAACTTCTGAAATGACCACTTCTTATTCCAGCTTAAGCTAGAATAAATGTTTGAATAAATCACCGCATTAAATAACATTTAAAATATGGTACCTTCAGCACATTATAAATATGAAATGTCCCCTCCCCCAACCCCATTTACTTCAGTGCACAGAGTCTCCCAGGCAAGCTTTTCCATCGCTCAGCCAGTGGAATGGATGGCATGCGCCAGATGTTACACAAAGCATTTATTTCTCCAAGAAGGCTGAGAGCCAGGAGAATTCATCTCCTTCTGCTAGGACCTCTGCCCCAAGCTTCTGAGGAAATAGTGAATTGGACTCGACAGGGAAAGTAGCTACGTGATCCACTAATGAAAATGCACTGGACAGTGTATGCCTTCCTGCTCTTCTCCATGGCAGAGAGACTTAAAGATAATTAATAAAAATAGCTGTCCCTTCAAACTCAGAGGAGGTTTTCAAAAACAAGTATAAGCAAAAAACAAAGAAATAAAAGGAAAGTAAATCAAACCCCCCAATACTCCTGAAAGTAAAACAGTCTCATGGTGACTGATGTCTGGAAGAAGTTGAGGCAGAAAAGACTGAGGAAGTTGGAAGGGGCTGGCCACAAAAGTGCCTTAAAGAATCCACTACAATGCTCTCCATTTCTAAGGCTGAGTAGCTACTCCCAGTAAGTTAACATTTTTCTGTTAAGAAGAAAACAAAACAAAACAAAAATAAAACCCACTCCAGAAAAAGGGTCAAGAGAAGAGCACTGTAGAAAGTCAAGCAGCTGAGCGCCGGTGGATGACGAAGAGCCCGCGCTGAAGCTGGCCCAGGTAGATCCTCATCTTGGTGCTGTCACTTGTCTTCCTCACCCAGATCTCATTGGCTCCTACAGAACTGATCACGCAGCTCAGTTTCTGGTTGTCCTTTGACTCCAGATAGATGGCCTGGCTCTTGTGGTACCATCTTTTGTCATAGTGCAGTTTGCCATCTTCTATCCGAGCTTCAAACCTCTGGGCTGGAGATTCCGCGGGTGTCGCAGGCAAGTGCTCAGGAGAGGATGGAGATGCTGGTCTCTTGGGTGACTTAAGCTTATTTAATGTTCTCAGATCCTCCATGATCTGTTCATCTGTTAACAAATAGTTTAGCTGGGCTGGAGCAGGTTTCCTCCTCTTGTCTGGGATGGGGACGGGATCATTTGGTCGCCTCCGCAACTTTCTGGTCATGATAGGTCTCACCTGCATAGAATCTCCATTCAGTTCCATTGTCAGCATTTCGTTTTCAATCATTTTCTTCTCTTCTGCTAGCTCAGCAATCAGGTTCTCTTTCAGCTCAACCTTCTTGTCTTCAAATTCTTTCACTGCTGCCTTCTTTTCTTTCATGTAATTTCGTCCCACTTGTTCAGTTTCCAGCTGGAGGAAGAGTTCAGCATTCCGTATCCTCTCTTTGTACTGCTGACCTAGTTTTTTCATTCTCTTCTGATATTCCTGTAATGTACCTTCTTGTAGTTGTTGCAACTGCCTCTCGAGAGAAGCCAGTTTGTCCTGATACATCTGTTCCTTCACTTCCCCATAGTCTTCTTCATCATGCTTTGCCAGGTCAGTTTCACTAGCATCCTCAGTGTCTTCGTCCGACTCGCGGCCCGGCAGCTGCGCTCGTCGTCCTTGGCGCTCTCCAGCTCTTCGTCCTCCCCGGGGACGCTCCAGCCCGGGCGGGGCCGGGGCCAGCAGCCCCGCGGCGCTCATGTCGCCTCTGACCGCAGCTGAGCGTGGCCCACGGACACCGCGGCCACCCACGCTCGGTACTCGCCGTCTGCCTGGCGGTGTCCGAGGGGGCCCCCAACTCGAGGAGCGGCAGCCACGGCGACCCCTTCCCGTCTCCGCCGAGCTCCGCCCCCCGCCAACTTTTTTGTTTCTTTTTTCAAGATGGAGTTTCACTCTGTCACCCAGGCTGGAGAGCGGCGGCGCAATCTCAGCCCACTGCAACCTCTGCCTCCCGGGGTTAAGCACTTCTCCTGCCTCAGCCTCCTGAATAACTGCGATTACGGGCATCCACCACCACACCCGGCTAATTTTTGTATTTTCCGTAGAGACGGGGTTTCACCATGTTGGCCAGGCTGGTCTCAAACGCCTGACCTCAGGTTGATTCACCCACCTCAGCCTCCCAACGTGCTGGGATTACAGGCATGAGTCACCACTCCTGGCCAAACTTTTCTTTTTTAAAACTAAATGTTACTGTGTATATTTGAGGTGACAGCATGATGTCAAAGGTACACGTCAGTAGTAAAATGGTTACTATAGTCAGCAAGTTCACATACCTACCATCTCACATAGGTACTTTTTTGTGTGTCAAGGGCAGCGAAAATCTACTTACTCAACAAAAATCCCAAGACAGTGTCCTCATGTTATACATTAGGTCTCTGGCCTTGTTCATCCGACGTCTGCTACTTTGCGTGTTTTGGCCTTCATCTCCCCACTTCCTGCTGATTGTTTTTGTCGTCTTTGGAGAAATGTCTGTTCAGGTCTCTTGTTAGCTTTTTAACAGGGTTATTTGTCTGCTTAAGTTGTAAGGGTTCTTCATTGATTTTGGATATTAGCCCTTGATCAGTTAGTGACTTGCAAATATTTTTCCCAGTTTGTAGGTTGCCTTTTTTTGATTGTTTCCTTTGCTGCGCAGAAGGGTTTTAGTTTGATGCGGTCCTCCTTGTTGACTTTTGCATGCAGCCTGGCTTTTGGTGGATTATCTGAAAAATCATTGCTAAGGCCAGCGTCGAGGGGGCTGTCCCCTACATTCTCTTCTAGGAGTTTCATGGTTTCATATCTTATTTATGTCTTTTATCTAGTTTGAGTTGATTTTCTATAGGGTGTAAGATAAGGGCCCAATTTCATGGTTTGGCCTGTGAAAATCCAGTTTTACAGCATCATTTATTGAAGAAACTGTCTTTTTTCCACTGTGTCCTCTTGGTTGCTCTTGTTGAAAGTTAGTTGACAGTGTATGTTTTGATTTATTTCTAGGCTTCTTATTCTGTTCCATTGGTCTATGTTTTTGTTTTGATGCCAATACCATATATTGTTCTTATTACTATAGCTTTGTATGTAATTTTAAATCACGTAGTGTTATGCCTCCAGCACTAATTTTTTTCCTCTGTATTGTGTTAGCTTGGGGTTTTTTGTGGTTCCATGTCAATTGCAGGATTGTATTTTTCTATGTCTGTGAAAAATGCGATTAGAATTTTGATAGGGATTGTCTTAAAAACTGTATATTTGCTTTGGATAGCATGCCATTTTAACAATTTTAATTCTTCCAATTCAGAAATGTGGGATGTTTTTACATTGTTTGTGTATTCTTAAATTTCTCTCATCGGTGTTTTATAGTTTTCAGTGTACTAGTCTTTCACCTTCTTGTCTAAATTTATTCCTAAGTATTTTATTTTGATTGGTGCTACTGTAAATGGGATTGTTTTCTTGATTTGTTTTTCAGCTAGATTGTTATTTGTGTATAGAAACGCTCCTGATTTTTGTATGTTGAGTTTGTATGCTGCAACTTTACTGAATTCATTTAGTTTTAACATTTTCTTATGGGAAATCTGAGGTTTTTTCATATGGATCATGTCATCTGCAAATAGAGATAATTTGTTTCTTTTTTTAGTTGCCTTTTTTTAAATTTGTCCAATTGCTCTTGCTAGTACTTCCAGTACTATGTTGAATAAAAGTGACAAGGCTAGGCATCCCTGTCTTGAACTCAATCTTAGTGGAAAGACTTTCAATTGTTCCCCATTGATTATGATGTTAGCTGTGGGTTTTTTAGAGGCGGACTTTATTATTTAGAGGAGCTTTCTTTTCCATCCGTCTCAGCTCAGCCTGGGGACTTCCCATCAAGTGAGGCACTTGTTCAGCTCTTGCATTAGGGACTGTGATTTCTCTGGCTGACCAAGGCATTGATTCTCTGGAAAGCAGGGCACAAATCAGCTCAGGCCCCAACGGCTAGGGTGCCACAGCAACTGGGAGGGGCAGGACACAGCAGCATGGCCCCACAGGGTGGGGTGTATGCTACGGTGTGGATGTGGTTTGTCCCCACCAAAACACATGTTGAAATTTGATTCCCGATGTGGTGGTGGTGGGAGGTGGGGGCTAGTGGGAGGTATTTGGGTGATGGGCAGACCCTTCATGAATAGATGAACGCTGTCTCGTGGGACTGGATGAGTTACCAGGCGTGGGGTGTTATGGAAGTGAGTTTGGCTTCCTGGACCCTCTTGCTTCCTCTCTTGCCATGTGCTCTCCTTGCCTGTGCTGGTTTCCCCTTCCACGTTCTGCCAGGAGTTGGAGCAGCACAAGCCCCTCACCGTGTGCACTGCCCAATCTCAGACTTTCCAGTCACCAGAATATTGAGCCAAAAAAGCCTCTTTTTTAAAAATAAACTACCCAGTCTTGGCCTGGTGCGGTGGCTCACGCCTCTAATCGCAGCATTTTGGGAGGCCGAGGCGGGCGGATCACAAGGTCAGGAGATTGAGACCATCCTGGCCAACACAGTGAAACCCTGTCTCCGCTAAAAATACACAAAATTAGCTGGGCGTGGTGGCGGGCGCCTGTAGTCCCAGCTACTCGGGAGGCTGAGGCAGGAGAATGGCGTGAACCCAGGAGGCATAGCTTGCAGTGAGCCAAGATTGCACCACTGCACTCCAGCCTGGGTGAGAGAGCGAGACTCTGTCTCAAAAAAAAAATAAAATTAATAATAATAATAATAATAAAATTACCCAGTCTTAGATATTCTGTTATAGCTGCACTGAACCTTAAGTACATTGAATTTTATTTGGGTCTCCTTAGTTTTACTTAGTTAATTTCATGGTTTTAAAGTCTTGTACATTTTTGCAGTCTTTAATAAGACAAAACGCTGAGATGTTGGACATTTGAATGCCAAAGGTGATATGAGACATTTAGCATTTCATATTTTGGGAATAGTACCTTATGATTGAAAACTGGGGCCAGGTGTGGTGGCTTATGCCTGTAATCCCAGCACTTTGGGAGGCCGAGGCAGGCAGATCACCTGAGATCTGGAGCTGGAGACCAGCCTGGCCAACGTGGCAAAACCCCGTCTCTGCTAAAAATACAAAAATTACCTGGGCATCACGTTGCATGCCTGTAATCCCAGCTACTTGGGAGGTTGAGGAAGGAGAATTGCTTGAACCTGGGATGCAAAGGTTGCAGTGAGGCGAGATTAGGCTCCGGCCTGGGTAACAGAGCCAGACTCCATCTTAAAAAAAAAAAAAAAAAAGCGGGGGGAGAGAGAGAGAGAGAGATGAAAGAAGGAAGGGAGGGAGGAAGGAAAAAATTGGGTTTACAAGTATGAGCTACTATGCCTGGCCAAGTGCCCAGAGGCTGTGTGCTGTGGGGAGTGCGGTGCCCCGACTGAGGCAGGCACAGGGTCCCAGCTCCTGTTGTCAGATGTGACAGACTCTCGGAGAATGGGAAAGCAATGCCACTTTTCCCACAAATCACTTTTGCTTTGGAAAATATTTTTCACAAAAAGATGCTATTTATGTTGCTCTGTAATGGTCTTGTTTCTGTTATTTGAAAACAGATTAATAAATATTTTAAATGTGACTCAGCTTCCATTTCTTTTCATTGTTGTTAGTCATGGTTCCTTTTATTCTCTTTTCCCTCAGCTCTATTCAGGTATAACTGATCAACATTGTATATGTTTACACTTTACAATGTAAATTAAAATTAAATTTCTAAGCCCCTCAATGAACTGAACGGATCCTCCTCTCAGCCAAGGGGACCCAAATAAACCTGAAAACTTCATTCAGGCCATGAGGGAGAAGAGGGGTCGGGCACGCCTCAGTATTCCCTCCACCCTTTGTGGTTCAGACCCAACTGAGCAGCAGTGACATGAAAATAGAGATCCTAAGACTGACGGAAGAAACGCCTTGTAGCAATAAGATACCCAACTTCAAATGCGCTCTGGTATAGCATCACCTGAAAGCAGGTCCTGAAGGAAGTCTGAGTATTTTACCCCGAGACAGATTTCTCTGACATTTTTTGGAATGGCCCAACACAGCTGTCTCTTTGTGGGAAATTTGCAATCTGTAGAGCATATGGCTCCATCACTAGGTCTTTCCAGAAAGTCTGTTACCTTTTAAGTCCAATAAGAGACGTTTACGTCTATCCTCTCTGAAGCCCTCTGCCTGGAAGTGTCATTTACGTGACAAGAACCTTGGCTCCCACAACTTCCCAAACTCCCACCCCCGACCACACCATGTTACCTAATTGAAGCTGATTTCAACTTTTAAGACAGAGTTTAACCCTTTCAACCAACTGCCAATCAAGAAACCTTTGAATCCAACTGTGACCTGGAACCCACCCCCAGCACGCCACCCGATTCCCCAGACAGAAGGCATGGAAGCCATGCATCCAGGACCCCCCAGCCCCATACGCCTTGCTCTATGCAGATCATTTCTAATCAAATTGTAAATATAGCCCTTTTCTGAATTCTCTGAGTCATTTCTAGTGAAGTTTTGAACCTGAGGAAGTCATGGTAATCCTTGAATTTATAGCCAGTTTGTCAGAAGTGCAGGTGGCTTGGGGACTCCCAAAGTTCAGCTGGTGTCTGAAGTAAGGGCAGTTTTGTGGGACTCAGCTCTGGAGTTGTGGAATCTGGTGCTAACCCTGAGTGGTGAGGGTCGGAACTGCCTTGCAGTCCACCCGGTTAGGCTCCACATATACGCTGTGGAGTAATGGGGACGGCATTCCTTGTTGAGAAAGCTTACACCTGCAACTCTGCTGTCTAGGCGGAGTATAACACCAGCGGAAACAGACGTGGGCACAGACACACGGCCGCCCCACACAAATCCCACCCCACACAGACACACCCCACCGTCCACGCGCACAAACTCATACCAGCTAAAGGAAACGCAACTGCTTGTGGAAACACGGTCACAGTGCTTTACCTGGAAAATAATGTTCCTTCATCACCACCAATCCTCATTCTAACCAGAAAGCTGGAGTCAGGGTGGCTCCCCAGACGAAAGCCAGCAAGGAAGACTCACCTTCCCTATCATCTAGATTTCTCCTTCACAAGTGGCACATGCAGAATATGCATGAATTTTCCCCTCTGAGGCCACCTACAGTGACAGAAAAGAAGGCACTACAGTACCATAGGTTCCGATGTGTTCTCTAAGCACAGGTGGGTTTTTTTTTTGTTGTTTGTTTGTTTGTTTCTTCCTGTTGACTTTATAAAACAAGAGGATAAATAGGGGTCAAGTCAAAGGAATCTATTTTTTTCTTTTTTCTTTTTTTTTTTTTTTTGAGACAGAGTCTTGCTCTGTCCCCCAGGCTGGAGTGCAGTGGCGTGATCTTGGCTCACTGCAACCTACGCCTCCCAGGTTCAAGCGAATTCTCTGCCTCAGCCTCCTGCATAGCTGGGACTACAGGCACGTGCCACCACGCCTAGCTAATTTTTTGTATTTTAGCAGAGACGGGGTTTCACCATGTTGGTCAGGATGGTCTCTATCTCCTGGCCTCATGATCTGCCCACCTTGGCCTCTCAAAGTGCTGGGATTACAGGCGTGAGCCACTGTGCCCGGCCAAGTCAAAGGAATCTAAAAGCAAGGGTAGAGAAAACCTACTCCTGTCATAGGGCAGACTTTTGCTGGAGAATGTGTCTGTCATGTCTATTGTTTTTTGTTTTTTTTGTTTGTTTGTTTGTTTTTTGAGGTGGAGTCTCCGTCAACCAGACTGGAGTGCAGTGGTGCAATCTCGGCTCACTACAACCTCCACCTCCCGGGTTCAAGAAGTTCTCTTGCCTCAGCCTCCCAAGTAGCTGGGATTACAGGCATGTGCCACGACGCCTGGCTAATTTTGGCATTTTTAGTAGAGATGGGATTTCGCCATATTGACGAGGCTGGTCATGAACTCCTGACCTCAGGTGATCCACTCGCCTAGGCCTCCCAAGTGCTGGGATTATAGGCCACCACGCCCGGCCTGTCATGTTTATTTCAATCAGCAGTTGCAAAATTATTAACCCACGGAGGAAATAATTGCTACTGAGGAAAAGGCTCTCTATGCACAGTGAAGAACCTGACACAACCCGGCTTATGTGCCCTCCTGAATCAGGCCTCGTTTGGTAAGAGACTTCTTTCCCAAGCCCTTGAGGAAACAGCCGCTAACCTCTGTAATGTATGTGGCCACGTTTCCATAACTGAACTCAATTGATAAAACGGCAAAGCACCGCTTCTACCTCAGAAAAAGAAAGACAATCTTAACCTGGCATTAGATGGGACCCCTCATCTGTCCTGCCACTAGGAAGCCACTGTAATTCATCCTCTGGAGGAGCTGGGTGGACGGGGCGGTGGTGGGACATCGGGATGCTGCCCGTGCATGGCCCCACCCCAGCTGGACATGAGAGTTGCAAAAACAAGGTGCTAGACGCAAGCTATAACCGACCATGCCGAGTTCACGTTTGTCCCGTCCCTAGGTTGTGTATGTGCCAGGATTTGAGCACTTCTAGGGCATATGCTGACAACGTTATCGAATACCACAAACCATCGCCTCAGTTCCTAGTTTTGGGTCAGATACTGAGAATCAGTCCTAGCACTGACAGAGATTGACAGTTGTCCTTGTCTCCCAACATTCAGAATCTGTGAGCTGCCCAGAGGCATCTGGACTTTCTATGTGCTTTTAATGCATCCCTCAGCATGGCCAGAATGAAGACATCAGAAAATACCAATTGTTGGAGAGGCTGGGGAGCAACCAAACTGTCTTCCTCAGCTGGCGTGATATCCGTTGCACGCTCCACCTGGGAAACTCTGTCAGTAGCTGCTGAAAGTGGACAAGCACATCTGCGATGACCGGCGACCCCTTGGGTGGAGAATATCCGGCAGAAAAGAGCGTGTGTGCTCCCCAAAGACACTCACAGGAAAGCAGCACTTTCATCACCTCCCAAAGCCATAACCACCCAAACCCTCACTGACAGTAGAACCTGTGAACAGATTCTAGGACATTTCAGCCCTGGCACGCTGTGTCCCCGCGGGAAGGACAGATCCTTAAACACATGCGACAACGTGGGCCAATCTCGCAAAACAGAGTAAATGAAGCTCACACAAAAGGAGTCCTGATCTCCTTTATTTCCAAGGAGGCTGCAGTTACCCTTGATGGGGAGGCTCACCACAGGAAGCTGGCCGCAGAAGACTTATCGGGGATGGCTTCCAGTCATGGGTTTTGTTGTGGTTTTCATTTCAATCTGGTTAATGATTAAATTTCATGAAAATTCATTGAGCTGTACATTTATGACAGGAATGACTTTTTGCTATGTATACAATATTTCAATTAAAAGTAAAAAAAAAAGAAGAAATAAACAGCATGTCTCAAACACATTATGAAAATCTCAGCCGGGCGCGGTGGCTCACACCTGTAATCCCAGTACTTTGGGAGGCCGAGGCGGGCGGATCATGAGGTGAAGAGATCGAGACCCATCCTGGCCAACGTGGTGAAACCCTGTGTCTACTAAAAATACAAAAATTAGCTAGATGTGGTGGTGGGCGCCTGTAATCCCAGCTACTCGGGAGGCTGAGGCAGGAGAATCACTCGAACCCTGGAGACAGAGGTTATAGTGAGCTGAGATCATGCTACTGCACTCCAGCCTGGCAACAGAGCGAGATTCCGTCCCAAAACAAAAACAAAAACAAAAGAAGAAAGAAAGAAAATCTCAGCAGATATGGAGTGGCAGGTAGGGTAGCTGAAGGATCTGTCATAAACCCAGAGTCACACGACTGTACCCAAGTGCAGAGATGGCATCAAGACTTTTAGAGTAACTGTCTTCACAGCACCAGAAAGCCCCAGATTGCTGCAGGACTCTCCAGCACTCACACCTATTTAACCACAGGGCAGAATACTCCCAAAACAGCACTGACAAGCGCTTATCTGGTTCAACGGAGGGTGGAAGAGGAGAGGGTTGGGATCAACAGGTACCTGACTACCTCACACATCCAGGTGTCAGCAATGGTCCCAGGAGGCTGGGACCTTCTTTCTCCTTGGTCAGATCACAATGCTCCTATAAATCTTTAACAAACCACAGTTAGCTGTTTACATACTTTCCATTAATCCCACAGTTAGTTGCAAAAACTACATGATTACCGCTTTTGCGTTTTATCTTAGCGCTCTAAAATTATGCTAGCTTATATGCAGGGATGAGAAAAAGCCCATTAAATAAAAATGGAGTCAGTTTTGTTAGCACTTTTCCTGTTTCACTGTTGCAGGATCATGGCTCCTTTCTGAGAAAAACCACAGGAAAACTTGACCATGTACACGTGGAACCTAATAAGTGCTGACTCAGTGTCACCATGGCCATCATTCCACCTCCAGGTGAGTCAGCATTGGCACCATTGAGGACAGATGATAATCATTTTCCACAACAATGACAATCACAACCAATCTCACCGGCCAGTGTGTTGTGGCCACCACCAGATCCCCAGGGAGGCCTCACAATGGGGACTCTTCCATGGGGACCGGCCATCTGCCTGCTCCACGTCTTCTCATTTGCTTTTCTTAAGCTTCTCACATCTCTCCAATAGCCAGAGAGAGTACCGCGCACCAAAGGGTTAGCTATGAGGCCTGACCCAAGACAGGAGGAAAAGTGGTTCAAAAGTTCTAGCACACTAGGGTGTTCCTCTCCATTGTGGGTGACTTCGCTTGTTCCTGACACACTTCACACCCATGGCGTCTGTGTCTGGGAGGCTGTTCAGATCCACGGCTGCTGCTGAGGGTGCTCCGCATACTTCACAGGACTTCATTTTCTTTCCCCAGAAACACTCTGAAGTCACACAGTGAGTGGCGCACCTCATCACTGACGCTAAATCCCACTGACTCCTCTTGCTCCTCTTGACAGTCTCGAGGTCTTGCCATTCACGGCCTCAGAAAGCCGGCACAGCCGTCTCAGGCCAGGCCTGTTTTCTCCTGCAGTACGTTCTCGTGTTTTTATTTTTCCTTTTTTTGAGACAGAGTCCTCGCTCTGTCACCCAGGCTGGAGTGCAGTGGCGTGATCTCGGCTCACTCCGAGCTCCGCCTCCCGGGTTCACGCCATTCTCCTGCCTCAGCCTCCCGAGTAGCTGGGACTACAGGCGCGCGCCACCACGCCCAGCTAGTTTTTTGTATTTTTAGTAGAGACGGGGTTTCACCGTGTTAGCCAGGATGGTCTCCATCTCCTGACCTCATGATCCGCCTGCCTCAGCCTCCCAAACTGCTGGGATTACAGGCGTGAGCCACCGCGCCCAGCCAAATAAATCTTTAAGAGATTTTGAAGAGTCTTCACAAATTTTATGTCAATGTGGATATAGCTAATGACTCACATACATTAGCATACATATTTTTGATAATTCAATAAATTTTATTCCCAAGTACGTACAGATTTTATTTCCAAGATGATGATAAGAAAATTGGAAGATGGGAAATACTTTTTAGCAACATGGTTTTTCACTTGTGTATCTGCTAAAATCCTGGGGTGTCACATAGACACGCTAAACCTCGTCTCTACTAAAAACACAAAAAATTAGCTGGGCGTGGTGGCGGGTGCCTGTAGTCCCAGCTACTCAGGAGGCTGAGGCAGGAGAATGGCGTGAACCTGGGAGGCAGAGCTTGCAGTGAGCCAAGATCACGCCACTGCACTCCAGCCTGGGCAACAGAGTGAGACTCTGTCCCAAAAAAAAAAAAAAAAGGAGGAGGGGAATGAAAGGAGATGAAAGAGGAGATAAATTACATTCAGATGGTGGCCTCTTCTGTCGGCATTAAATTGGCCAAATGACCTTCAGGGTGTCCGGAGCAGCAGCGGTGATGGGGCAGCCATGGGAAGGAAAGGGGAGAGTTAGAGTCGAGGGGCCATTTGGGCCCCGCTGTCCTGGGGCTGTGACGCCAACCCCAGAGGCTCTAGTGTGCTCATCTCTAGAGTCCTCTCCACAGCCTGGATCACTTCCTCCCTACAGCGAGGGAGGGGCCTCTGATTTCCCACATGCTTTCCCAGCCTTCAAATTCCATAACCCTCAAATTCCCCAGGGAGGGGAGGCCCGTGTCATCCCCTTTCCCCAGGAGGCGGCCACTGTCTCCATGATGCTCTGTGCCTGGCACAGACTTCCCTCTCTGCTCTAACTGTTAGGGCCTGATTTTGTTCTCCTGATTGATGCCCGTTTCCTTTCTCCATGTCAACCTCCACCAGTGCTACTGGTCTCCAATAGAACAACATTGGAAAGAAGGGCACTGCCAGTCCTTCCAGTAAATCCATGGATCCCACCCTAGGTCAGGGACATGGCCACAGGCCTGGGTTGTGTTGGGATCTGTGAGAGATGATGATGACCAAAGCCTGGGATGACCCTGGAAATGTAAACTATTCAAGCCTAACAAGAATCCCACTAGCATCTCAATGATTGGCAAGGACAGAACGGGATTCCAGGGAAAGCCCGTTTTCCCATTGCCTTAATCCGCAGGTGAAGCCGTGGTTGTTAGCATATGAACGAAGGGGCCCTGCCAGGGTTTGCCTGAGCTGTGGGAGGACTGGGCGGAAGGGCACCTGGCCGGCCTGACCCAGGGAACACGCTGGGCCTGATGGCAGCGTGGGGAACAGGACAAGGCTGCCAGGCCAGAGCAAAGGGCGTGACAAAAAATTGAGCCCTGTGCCGGCTGCCCAGTGGCCCCGTCCTGGGCGTGGTGGATTCCTGGAGCCAGGTCACGGGGAGGGTGAGAGCCAGTGCCTGCAGCAACACAGCAGCCCCTCCACGCATGTCCCCTAGGATTCCTGCCAGCCACGGAGGGCCTCGGTGACAGCTGGACACTGACTTCTCAAATGAAACCCAATTAAGGCTTCATTCCTAACCCAAGGATTTGGGATTGGGTGAGGAGTGGCCAGAAACATGCTGAAGCGTGGGCTTCCCCTCGCGACCCCACGGCGGGTGAAGCGTGGGCTTCCCCTCGTGCCTCCACAGCCGGGGCATACATATTCATCCCAGAGGAAGGATTCTCTGCATCATCCAACCCTGTGGGTGCCTTTCAACCCGGAGCCGATGGTGAGGACGGGACAGGAAGGTGCTGCTGCAGGTCCCAAGGGTGCAGAGGGAGAGGGTGGACTCCTCCCACCTCCTGGCACACACGTGGGAGACTTTGTCTCCAGGGAGACTTAGGGGCTGTGAGGGGCTGTGTCCCACATCACTCCCCGCATAGCACCAAACGCCACACCCACATACTAATCCCGTGTTCTCCATTCACAAAGGATGCCATCCCATCAAAACCCAAGGATTTAGTGCTTTCTGTGGCACAGGCAGGAAAGATCTGGTTTTCTGCAAAAGGTCATCTTTAAACACCAGAGCAAGAAATGAATATGACAAGCAGAGCACACACAACATCCATGCAAACACAACCTCTTAGGACTCTGTCTTAATTAAAATACAAAAGGAGGCCGGGCTCGGTGGCTCTTGCCTATAATCCCAGCACTTTGGGAGGCCGAGGTGAACAGATCTCGAGTCCAGGATTTCAAGACTAGCCTGGGCAACATGGCGAAACCCTGTCTCTACAAAAAGTACAAAACTTAGCCAAGCATGGTGGCATGCACCTGTATTCTCAGCTACTTTCTGGAGGCTGAGGTGGAACGATTGATTGAGCCCAGGAGACGGAGGTTGAGCCACAGTGGCACACTGACTGCACTCTAGCCTGGGTGACAGAGTAAGACCCTGTCTCCAAAAAGAAAAAGAAAAAAAAAAGGAATAAATCAGACTTCTGCACCTGGCTCCTTTTCCATTTACTGATTTTATAGCCCCAATCCTACTGCGCCCGTAAGAACCCTCTGCACAGGCCCCACCTGGAGTCCTCTACCTGAAGAGGCTTCATCCTTATGGCTGCAGTCAGGCAAGCTGTCCTTGAGCCCATCTGTAGAGACACAAACATCAGCAGAAAGGTGATTCCAGAGAGTTACTCACCCAGCTCTTCTACTCTATGTGCAACCACGTGGAGGACACAAGGTCCCCTGCCTTGTCCTGTGTCCTCAGATTCTCCCTGTGCTCTGTGGACTCAGAGGCTGTCAACAAGGCACGGCTCATAGTCGAGAGCCTTCAGGTGAGAGGGAGGAGCTGACGACATTCCCTTCCAGCTGTACACTTCCACTGGACCATTACGGCTCTCACCTGCAAACCGATAACCCTGAAATTCCAGCTTTGATGCATGTGCTTTGAGTTAGATGAGTTCAGTGAACACAACTGATGCGAGGCTCACAGAAGCTGCATGAGAGAAGGTTCTGGGAGGATGGAAATGTTTTCTGCAGTATAGACATATGGCTACTGTGCACTCAAAGTATAGCTCTGGTGAGGAGGTCCTGAATTTTAAATTTTACTATTTTATTTTTGAGACAGGGTCTTGCTCTGTCACCCAGGCTGGAGTGCAGTGGTGCGATCTCAGCTCACTGCAACCTCCGCCTCCCAGGTTCAAGCGATTCTCCTGCCTCAGCCTCCCAAATAGCTGTAACTACAGTTGTGCACCAACACACCCGGCTAATTTTTGTATTTTTAGTAGAGACAGGGTTTCACCTTGTTGGCCAGGCTGGTCTTGAACTCCTGACCTCAGGTGATCTGCCCACCTCGGCCTCTCAAAGTGCTGGGATTACAGGCGTGAGCCACCGCACCTGGCCTCCTCCTGACACTTTTACAAAACATTTTGCTGACCAAGAACGATACAGAAATTTTGTCTCCAGTGTTCAAATATGCATGTCAAGGAGGAAAACAAATTCTGAAGGAACTTTTTTAAAAGGCAACTACCTGAAAAACTGTGATAAAATATGTGTAACACGAAATTTCCCATCTGCATCATTTCAAGTGTTCAGTAATGTTAAGAGCCTTCAATTGGCATGCTACCATCACCTCCATCATCTCCGGAGGTCGTTCCTCATCCTCACTGAAACTCTGCCTGTTAAACAGCCACTCCCCTTTCCCTCCTCCCTCCAGCCCCTGGCTTCCTACTAGACCTAGTATACTTCAAGCATGCCCCTGTATACTTCATAGACACATTCTACTTTGTGTCTCTATGAAATATACTAGGTACTTCATGTGAGTGGAAATACACAATATTTGTCCTTTTGTGTCTGCCTTATGTCATTCAGCATAGTCCTCAAGATTCATTTATGTTGAGGCCTAGGTCCAAATACCCTTTTTTTGTAAGGTTGAATAATATTCCATTGTATGTACATACCGCATGTTATTGATCCCTTCGTCTGTCAATGGATATGAGTTGCTCCCACCTTTTATCTATTTTGAATAACACGGCTATCAACAGGGATGGGTGTCTCTTTATTTCCTTGCTTTCAATTTTTGGGGGATATAAACCCAGAAGTGGAATTGCTGGAGCGTCCCTAGGTATAATTTCCGAGGAACTGCCTTACTGTTTACTAGAGGGGCGGCACTATTTTACATTCCCACCAGCAGCGCACAAGGGTTCCAGTCTCTCCACATCTTCACCAACATTCGTTATTTTCTGGGTTTTCTTTGATACTAGTCAATGTAGTAGGAGTGAAATGGAATCTCGTTGTCATTTCCATCTGCCTAATGATTAGTGATGCTGAGTATGGAAAAATGTCCATTCAAGTCCTTTGCTCGTTTGCTTTTTTTTTTTTAAGACAGAATCTCACTCTGTCACCCAGGCTGGAGTGCAGTGGCGTGATCTCGGCTCACTGCAACTTCCACCTCCCAAGTTTAAGCAAGTCTCCTGCCTCAGCCTCCCAAATAGCTGAGATTACGGGCACGTGCCACCACACCCGGCTAATTTTTGTAGTTTTACTAGAGACGGGTTTCACCGTGTTGGCCAGGCTGGTCTCAAACTCCTGACCTCAGGTGATCTGCCTGCCTCGGCCTCCCAAAGTGCTGGGATTACAGGCATGAGCCACCGTGCCCGGCCTTACTCATTTCTGAATTTGACTGTTAGGTTTTTGTTATTTTAATTGAAGTGTAATATTCATACAGAGAAGCCACCAGTCCCCAGAGGGCAGCTTGGTAAATTATCATAGAGTGAATACGTCTGGGACACCAGCCCTCAGATCAAGAAATAGAATAATACCAGAGCCACCCTCCCCCAGAGCACTAAGATCATCGCTATCCTGACTTCTCACCAGATGTTTCTTTGGCCTGTTTTAGGGCTTCGCAGAAACACAATCGTGCTGTACGCATTCATTTGTGTCTGGCTGCTTCTGCTCAACATTATGTTGCTGAGATTCACCAACTGTGCATGGCGGCTGTTAATCCATTTTCAGTGCTGTAAGAACTTTACTCTATAAATATATTGAGAGGTACTTATCCATTCTCCTGTTGGAAGTTGGGGCTATTGTGAAGGGTGCTGGTATAAACATTCTAGTGCACGTCGCACGTCATTTGGTGAACACGTGCACAGTGCACAGTTCTTTTGGGTCTATGCACAGGAGTGGAATGTGGGGATCACAGGTGTGGTCTCCTTTAGTAGGTATTACCCAGGGGTTTTCCAAAGTAGTTGTGCTATTTTACATTCCCAATAGTATATGAAGTTTCAGTTACTCCACATTCTTGCCCAAACTTGGTATCAACAGTGTTTTTAATTTTAGCCATTCTGGTAGGTGTAATATTGATTTCTCACTGTGGTTTAAATTTGATGGCTTATGAGGCTGAGCATGTTTTAAATGCTTTTTGGCCATTTGGATGTTCATTTGCTCTTTCCTCTCCCTCCTTCCCTCCCTCCTCCCTCCCTCCCCCCTCCTCCCTCCCTTTCTTCTTTCCCTTTTGTGTCCCTCTTCATTTCTTTCACCCATTGTCCTATTGGTCTGCCAGCTTTTTTCTTAATTTTTTAAAAAATTTATTTTACTTTAGGCCAGGCGCGGTGGCTCATGCCTGTAATCCCAGCACTTTGGGAGGCCGAGGCAGGTGGATCACGAGGTCAGGAGATCGAGACCATCCTGGCTAACACGGTGAAACCCCGTCTCTACTAAAAATACAAAAATTAGCTGGGCATGGTGGCATGTGCCTGTAGTCCCAGCTACTCGGGAGGCTGAGGCAGGAGAATGGCGTGAACCCAGGAGGCAGAGCTTCCAATGAGCTGAGATCACGCCACTGCAATCCACCTGGGCGACAGAGCGAGACTCCATCTCAAAAAAAAAAAAAAATTTTACTTTAAGTTCTGGGATACATGTACAGAACGTGCAGGTTTGTTACATAGGTAAACATGTGCCATGGTGGTTTGCTGCACTTATCAACCCATCACCTAGGTATTAAGCCCCCGCATGCATTTTTATTAACTTACAGGAATTCTCTTTATACTCTACATGTAATTTATCTTTTCACCCTCCTCCATTCCCCACCTCTTTTTTTTAAGAGACAGAGTCTCACCCTGTCACCCAGGCTGCAGTGCAGTGGCACAATCATGGCTCACTGCAGCCTCAGCCTCCCAGGCTCAAGTGTTCCTCCTGCCTCAGCCTCCCAAGTATCTGGGACCACAGGCATGCACCACCATGCCCAGCCAATTTTTCATTTTTTGTAGAGACGAGGTCTTGCTAAGCTGCTCAGGCTGTTCTCTAACTCCTGACCTCAAGTGATCCTCCCGCCTTGGCCTCCCAAAGTGCTGGGATACAGCGTGAGCCACCACACCCGGCCCCATCTTTTTACTCTTATTGATGAAAAAATTCTTAATTTTACTATCATCCAATGTATCAATCATTTTCTTTGGGGATAGTGTTTTGTCTTATTGAAGAAATTTTTACCTGCCTCCTAAGGAGCCTTAAAAATCTCCATATGCCCACAAAGCCCCACTGTTCTAACGTCTATTTTGTGCTAGAAAATAAACGAGGCACTGTCCCAGAGGCTATGCCTATCTTGTGGGAAAACTGTCTTCATCATCATTTGCTAAGATGGGAGATGATCGGGATGAGGACAATCTCCATGGCTCCCGGCATCTGATCCCTTCCTGCATTAGAGAGAGTGGGCCTGATGCCATCGTGGGCCCAGCCCCACCTGCACCCCACGGGGAAAGGGCAAGAGGAATGGAGAAGGTGTGGTGTCCTTGGGCAGAGCCAGCCCAGAGATGTGGCTCTGCAAACAGAATGAGGGTACAGATGAGTCTGCCTGCATCGCCACGGGGCTCCGGGGGCTGCAGGAGGTGGGAGAGAAGCAGGTAGAGGAGGGATCCAGCAGGAAGAAGAGCAGAGCATTCTCCCTGGAAAGGGAGAAAGAAGGACGCACCTGGCCGGGCGCAGTGGCTCAGGCCTGTAATCCCAGCACTTTGGGAGACAGAGGCAGGCGGATCACGAGGTCAGGAGATGGAGACCATCCCGGGAGGCGGAGGTCCCAGGAGTCTGGTGATACCCTGTCTCTACAACAAATACAAACATTAGCTGGGCGTGATGAGAGGCACCTGTAATCCCAGCTACTCAGGAGGCTGAGGCATGAGAATCGCTTGAACCTGGGAGGCAGAGGTTGCGGTGAGCGGAGATCGTGCCACTGTACTCCAGCCTGGGTGACAGAGCGAGACGCTGTCTCAAAAAAAAAAAAAAAAAAAAGGACGCACCTTTCATTTAACAGCTCAGTGTTCCAGTGACTGGAGGTGAGGTCGCAGCTGCTGGTCCCACAGAGCCTGTCTCTGGCGTTAGTTGTTTAGATGTCAGAATTGGTGAAAAGTTTGAGATTGTACCAGCTGGTCCGGGAAAGGTGATGGGGGAGCTATAAAGCTTGCGGCAGGGCAGTCAGGGATGTCCAGTGCACAGGGGCTCCAGGGAACGTGAGCCACACGGTGCTTAGGGCCAGGCCTCCCAGGAGTGACCCAGACCAGGGGCTCCAGGGCACGTGAGCCACACTGTGCTTAGGGCCAGGCCTCCCAGGAGTGACCCAGACCAGCCTTTTCTTTCTCATTCTCTCACTCTCTGAATTCAAAAGCTTGAACATGCCACAAAATGTCCACCCAATAAAAAGAAAGTATTTGCCTACTGGGCTCAGACATGGTATTAAGGAAATTGCAAATCTACTGACTGTGACAGAAAGCAAATCAGTGGCTGCTTGGGATGGGGGGGGTGGGAGGGGCTGTAGGGAGGGATTCCAAAGAATCACGAGGAAGCTTTGGGAGTCGTGATGCTCCTGGTCATGGTTTTGCGGGTGCGTACGTGTGTCAACATCGATCAAAAAAAAATTTTTTTTTTTTGAGATGGAGTTTCACTCTTGTTGCCCAGGCTGGAGTGCAGTGGCGTGATCTCGGCTCACTGCAATCTCCGCCTCCCGGGTTCAAGTGATTCTCCTGCTTCAGCCTCCAGAGTAGCTGGGATTACAGGCATGCACCACCACACCTGGCTAATTTTTTATATTTTTAGTAGAGACAGGGTTTCACCATGTTGGTCAGGCTGGTCTCGATCTCCTAACCTCACGTGATCCACCCACCTCAGCCTCCCAAAGTGCTGGGATTACAGGCGTGAGCCACCACGCCTGGCCTTGTTCTCTTGTATGTGAGTTACCCCTCCGTGAGGCTGCTAAACATCCCCCCAGCACACACACGCACAGACACACACCTGCACGCCCTCACGTAGTTTGCGAGGCAGTGGTTCAAGTTACACGTTAATCCCTCAAGCGTGCTCATCTCACTCTCCAAACCTGCCCTCTTGCAGGGTCCATGCTTCTTCTAAGTGTCCTGGTCACAAGGCAGCTGGATTGACACTCAGAGGTACAGAGCAGAGCAGAGTGTGGTCCCTGAATCTGTCTCACCCCCACGATCTTTACACACAGAGACCTTCCCAGGAGCTGTGACTTGAACTTCACAATCTGCAGGGTCCACCCAGGAGCCGTGTCCTCCTCACAGGCAATTGGATCCCCTCCTCTCTCAACCTGTGTGGGAAGACTGGAAACAAAAAATAGAGAAAGTTGGAGGTAAAACACTAAGGGGATGGGCATCCCCAGGACACACACCTGAGCATCCCCAGGACAGAGGAAAACACTGAGGGGATGGATGGGCCACACCTGAGCATCCTCAGGACCGAGGGAAACACTGAGGGGATGGATGGGCCACATCTGAGCATCCCCAGGACCGAGGAAAACACTGAGGGGAGGGATGGGCCACACCTGAGCATCCTCAGGACCGAGGGAAACACTGAGGGGCTGGATGGACCACACCTGAGCATCCCCAGGACCGAGGAAAACACTGAGGGGCTGGATGGGCCACACCTGAGCATCCTCAGGACCGAGGGAAACACTGAGGGGATGGATGGACCACACCTGAGCATCCCCAGGACCGAGGAAAACACTGAGGGGCTGGATGGGCCACACCTGAGCATCCTCAGGACCGAGGGAAACACTGAGGGGGTGGATGGGCCACACTTGAGTGACCCCAGGACAGAGGGAAACACTGACGGGATGGATGGGCCACATCTGAGAGTTCCCAGGGCCGACATAAAAAACCTATTGGGATAGACCAAACCTGTGAGTCCCCAGGGTGCAGTAAACACTAAATTAATAGACCACACCTGAGGGTCTCGAGGACCGAGGTAAAACACTCAGGGGATGGATGGGCCATATCTGAGGGCCCCCAGGACAAAGGTAAACAATAAGGGGATGGGCCACACCTCAGGGTCCCCAGGACAGAGGTAAACACTAAGCGGATGGATGAACCACAACTGAGATTCCCCAGAATAGAGATAAAACACTTTGGGGATCGACCACATCTGAGGGGCCCAAGGCAGAGGTAAACACTAAAGAAATGGATGGACCACACCTAAGGGTTCCCAGGATAGATGTAAACACTAATGGGACGGATAGACCACACCTGAGAGTCTCGAGGACAATGGAAAAACACTAATGGGATGGATTGACCACAACTGAGGGTCCCCAGGACAGAGGTAAACACTAATGGGATGGATAGACCACACCTCAGGGTCTCCAGGACAGAGGTAAAAACCAATTGGATGGATGGATGGAACCTGAGGGTCTCCAGGAACGAGGTAAAACACTGAGAAGATGGATAGATCACACCTGAGCATCCCCAGTACAAAGGAAAACACTAATAGGATTGACCATACCTGAGGATCTCCAAAACAGAGGGAAACACTAAGGGGCTGGATCGCCCACACCTGAGAGTCCTTAGGACAGAGGTAAACACTGAGGGGCTGGATGGGCCACACCTGAGGGTCCTCAGGACAGAGCAGTGAAGGACGGCTGTTGCTGGGATAATTCCATATCTTTGGAGAACAAGAATTCCAGGTAGTTTTCTTCGCTCCAAACAGCGTGGTTATGAACTAGCTTTCACTCCAGGAGGCTTTAAAGCTTCAGATAATATCTGTAGTAATAAAGAAAAACAGGCCAGGTGCCACGGCTCACACCTGTAGTCCCAGCACTTTGGGAGGCCAAGGTGGGAGGACCACTGAGGCCAGGAGTCTGAGACCAGCCTGGACAACGTAGCGAGAGCCCATCTCTGTAAATAATTTCAAAAATGTAAAAAAAAAAGAAAGAAAGAAAGAAAGAAAAACAAATAGTGGTAACTGACAACTAACATATTGTTACTAACAAAAATTTACACCAAGGTGAAAAAAATCAACTTTTTTTTTTTTTTTAATCAAAACGATGCCTCAGTCTAGGAAGAGGTGCTTCCTCTCTGGAAGCAGCTGAACACCTGAGCTGCTGTCCACAGGCGGACGGACTCTCCAGGAGCCCCCAGTGGGCCTCGGCTCCTCCACGTCAGCTCCTCTCTTGTCCCTCTGCTGGTCCACGGGGGCCGCTGCAGCTGGCCAGGTCTCCTGGGAGTCAGAGGGGGCCATGGGTTCCACCCCAGGGCCCACCTCATCAGCACAGTGCTCTCACCATCTGAGCACCAGCCCAGAGGAAAAGGAGAAAGAATGGGTGATGCTGATCCCCCAAGCAAAATGGAAACCCCTCCACCTCCCACCCTCAAAAGCACCCAACAACGGGCCCTGGGCACTGAGGGCCTCACGGGGAGCTGTTTGCATCACAGTGAAATCTACAAAGTTCCCATGGCACGTGAGTGGACGCTTCCTCCACACGGGAATGTCCGGCTGCCCCAAGGAAGGCTGCAATAATGTTGAGATCTTTGAATAGGAGCAAGGGATCAAGGCCGATGGCCTCTCTGAGGGCCTCAGTTTCCATCCATGTGGGCAAGCTCCCCTTTGGGAATCTGGGTTATGGTTCCCGAGATGGGGACAAGAGGCATCCGCTGACGGCTATATTTACAAAAATCCATCAAGTCGACACGCTTGTGAGAGTCAAAGCAGTACAGTAACTCACTGGAGAAGTGAAAATTTCTCATCTTCACACGCACAGAGATAACGGGGGCGGCGTGGGGGCAAGCCGAACGCATGCGTGTGCTCTGTGCACTCACCGCCGCCCTCTCCGCGGCTGTCTGGCTCCTGATTTGCATAGTGAGAGGCAGACACCAGGCTTGAATCAGGAGGGGCAGCGCCTTGTCCCAGTGAGTTTGGGTCTTGAGACAGTGAGTAGCAAGGGTGTAGAAAGGAAGGGATTTATCGACAAAGTTATCTGACTTTGATTCTTGAGCTCAATAGGGAGAGTTTGAATAAAAAGGAACACCGATACTAACACACGTTAAATAGACGAACTGCTTCTAATATTTGATAGGCAATAAATGTCGCATTTGTTTATACTTCCTAAGCAAAGTCAAGTCTCGTTCTCAGTTGCTCATTTTCAGAAAGTGAGAAAGTCCAAGATCTCATGGGCCCCTCCCCTTCCTCGGGTTATGGACACCAGGGCCCTGGGGACTGCAAGCTGGGGAGGTCTCCCGGGAGTCAGAGGGGGACATGGAGGAGAGCGGAGGAGAGAGTGCTGTTCTAGGGTGTCATTAGGTGGCTGTCAGATCCCTGCTCCTACATTCAGTAGGGAGTGACCTTCGGAAAATTATGTAGCCTCCCTAAGTCTCAGTTTTCTCACCTGAAAAATGGAGCTGATGGTAATACTCCTCATCCAGTAGAACAGTATGTGTTGACCATGCTTGTGGCATTCTTTTTAAGAGCTGCACAGCACTCCATTGTATGGGCATTAAATCATTTATTTATTGTGTGCAATCTCGGCTCACTGCAACCTCTGCCTCCCAGGTTCAAGCGATTCTCCAGCCTCAGCCCACTGAGTAGCTGGGATTACAGGTGACCACCACCATGCCTGGCTAAATTTTGTATTTTTAGTAGAGATGGGGTTTCACCATGTTGGCCAGGCTGGTCTTGAACTCCTGACTTCTGGTGATCTGCCCACCTCAGTCTCCCAAAGTGCTTGGATTACAGGCCTGAGCCACCACTCCCGGCCCATAGACCTAAATATAAAACACATTTGTTGAACACCATGAAACCAGCAGCTTTGCTGTCACCACCAGAGGGACTCACATGATTTGGAGAATTTTCAAATAGGGATATCGATGCAAACACACAGGAAGGACCAGTAGCTCTGCTCGTCTCCTCAGAGACCAGAACCTGCCCAAACCACCCAGCATCACTGACTGATGACGGTGCCTGAGCTCATGCGAAGAGAAGACACAGCGAGGGGAGGTGCCTGTGGAAAGCAGATGGCCTGAGCTGTGTGTGCACGCCCTAGTCCACGGGTAGATCCATCAGCCACAGTGGAAGCCTCACCGACTCAAGGTGTTAGTGTACAAATTCAGACAACTGTTGGCAGAATACCAAGCACGCAGATAAAGGAGCGGTTCCTGGGAAGCCATGCATAAGAAACAAACAAAAAATGAGCAGAGACGGCTCCGGCTACACGCTGCTTACAGAATTTACAAATTTAGTGCAGGCTGGTTACAAACAAACGAACAAACAGTAACAACTCTCAGCAGAAAAGAATCAGAATCCAGAGTTGAAGAGTCTATAACCTAAAGTATCCAGTGTTCAATGATAAGTTACAAGACAAAAAGAAACAGGCAAGTGTGGGGGGAAACTGTCTTTGTGTCCCCAGATGTCACACTTAGCAAACAAAGACTTCAAAGCAGTTACTTATGTTAAAAGAACTTAAAAAGGGCCAGGCACGGTGGCTCACTCCTGTAATCCCAGCACTTCGGGCCACCGAGGCAGGCGGATCACCTGAGGTCGGGAATTCGAGACCAGCCTGATCAACATGGAGAAACCCCATCTCTACTAAAAATACAAAATTAGCTGGTGTGGTGGTGCATCCCACTATCCGGGAGGCTGAGGCAAGAGAATCGCTTGAACCTGGGAGGCAGAGGTTGCAGTGAGCCAAGATCGTGCCATTGCACTCCAGCCTGGGCAACAAGAGCGAAACTCTGTCTCAAAAAAAAAAAAAGAAAAAGAAAAATGACTTATGAAACATCAAGCACAATATATGTAGAATGAGAGTCTCAGAAAGAAAGAAGAGGGGAAACAACTATTTACAGAAATAATGGCTGAAAACTTACCAAATTTGATATAAAACATTAATCTATAGAATCAATGTTTACTTTTAGTAAAATAAAAATCAAGATATCCACTCCTACACACCTGTGTCAAGCTATGAAAAGACAAAGAGTAAATATTGAAAACAGTAAGACAAAAACTTCTCTTCATGTACAAGAGCACCACGATAAAATTAGCCACTGATTTCTGATCAGAAACAATGGTGAAGCCAGGCACGGTGGCTCACGCTTGTAATCCCAGCACTTTGTGAGGCCAAGGCAGGTGGATTACCTGAGGTCAGGAGTTCGAGACTAGCCTGGCCAACATGATGAAACCCTGTCTCTACTAAAAATACAAAAATTAGCTGGGCATGTTTGTGCGTGCCTGTAATATCAGCTCCTCGGAGGCTAAGGCTGGAGAATCGCTTGAACCTGGGAGGCAGAGGTTGCAGTGGGCTGAGATCACACCACTGCACTCCAGCCTGGGCAACAAACAGAGGGAGACTCCGTCTCAAAAAAAAAAAAAGAAGAAGAAGAAGAAAGAAACAATGGTGGGAAGGCAATGGGATGGCATAGTCAAAGAATGAAAGAAAAAAAATTGTCAACTAAAAATGCCGTGTCCGGCAAATCTATCCTTTAAAAATAAAGATATTCCCCAATAAACAAAGACAGAAAATTTGCTGCCAGCACTCCTACCTTATAAGAAATACTAAAATAAAGCTTCTGAACTAAAAGAAAGGCTTGTTTCTTCTATTTGAAAATACTGAATTGATTTGTCACAGATATGTGTGTATATGTGTGTGTGTGTGTATGCTGAATATTCCAAAATTTCTCATGCACTTTACTTTTATTGATTTTAGAAGCAAAAATATTGCAAATATATAAAAATATTCTTTGAAGGTTTAATTAGTTCAATTTTTATACTTTTTTAGTCCTATGAATTTTAATAATAAAGAATTGATTTAATTTTTGATTAAGTCTAGCTGAAGATAGTAAAGATTAATTGAAACAAAGTTATAAAAATTTATTCAAAACTCACAATGATAAACAAGTATAAAAATGTAAGCTCTCTGTCTGAGTGGATGCAAGGCAAGAACATACTGTGTGGGGAAGTCCCCACAACCACACAGCCGTGACGCCAGAGCTCCACGGAGGCCCAGGGATGATCTCAGAGCCATTCCCAGGCCTGGGCCTCACCCTAGAGCCAAGGTCCCCTGGGGAAAGTGGAGCCTGCCTCAGGGGGCACAGCATCACCTCCTCAACCCCAAGCCTGGCTGCCTTTCTGATGGAGGAGCCAGGTGGGCTCTGGGAGGCCTAGAACCTTCTCACCCCTCCCAGCCCCAAAGGGTGCAGTTAGTTACTGCATCACAGCCCCCAGGGGACCCCTGACCACAACCTCTCCAAGTCACACCGACCGGCAGCCTCCCAGGGGCCGAAGACCCCCACCCCATGGAGCATGGCAGACAGCCCTGGCAGGCCCAGGTGCAGACACGCAGGGAGAGGTGGCCCCACTGTCGTGGTCCCCTACAGCCACCGCCGGGGTGCACTCCCTGTTTGGCAGCCACTGTCTAGTCCCCTGCGCCTGGCCACACACAGGTGGGGAAGAAATCATGACACAGGGTGTTGACTGCGGCCTCTCCCTGCCATGTGACAGCTCCCGAGGTCCCTGCGGCACTCTCCCCAATGCATCCTGACCTCACTATATTTGCACCCCAAACCCTGGCACCCAGGCCCCACGCGGCACTCCCTGTCCTCAGCGCAGTGGTACCCCTGTACCTGGACCTTCAGCCCGTCAACATTCACCCCGTCCTCAGCACAACAGCACCCCTGTATCATGAAACCAAGCCCCCCACCCTGCACCCTGTCCTCAGCAAAGCAGCACCCCTGCCCCGACACCCATTCCCCCACCCTGACCCCTGAAAACGAGCCCCCGGCCCTGCACCCGCTGTCCTCAGCACAGCAGCACCCCTGCCCTGAATCCCAGCCCCGCCACCCTGAACCCCGCCCTCAGCACAGCACCATCCATGCCTTTTGATGCCCGGGCCACCCGCCCTGCCCCACCTGTCCTCAGCACAGCAGCACCCCTGTCCTCTGACACCCAGTCCCAAAACCCGCACCGGTAAGTGTTGGCCCTGAGCCTCCCATGGCCCTGAAGGCCGCATCTTTAGGTGCTCTGTCCGCAGCAGCACGTAACTCCCAGGCTGCCCGGTGGGTTGAGGCCCACGGCAGCCTCACCAAGGGTTCCACCCCAGAAACGACAGGCTTTTAGATGTTTAAAGACCAGAGTGGCAAAAATGCAGGAGAGCAAAGTAGCCTTGCCTAAGAGACCGCTCCACTCCAGCAGCAGAGCTGGAGGAGGAATGAGGGAGGTAGAGCGCAGAAGGGAACTCAGGACTGGGCCATCTGCTGCAGAAACAGCAGGCCCAGGACAGTGGCGACTTCTGGGCTCCCCGGCCCTCTGCTCATGCTTGCTCAGAAAGGGCTGTCCTGTTTACTTCGGGAGGCGGCTTTGGCGGGAGGGGCAGCCACACTGGGACCTCCGGCTGTGGCTGGGTTCTGGGCACCAAGCCCGCTGCCAGGCCGGCGCCTGCTCCTGCAGACCTGCCATGCCAATGCTCTCCAAGCTGAGGCCGGGTGGCCTGCGACGCTCAGCCCGATGCCCATCACAAGAAAAAAAGCAATTATCAGGGCGCTGTGCGCACGGGGCCACCTTCGCGCTGGCCCGTGAGGGCACCCTCAGCCGGCGGGACTTTCACTTTTGCCGAGCAGCGGCAGCAGCACCGGATGTCTCCTTCGCCCCTGCGCACCGGGGTCGCGCAGAAAGGACGGTGGTTCTGACCGGCGGCTCTGCGGGGCGGGGTGCGGCGCTCAGCCCGGTCGCCCCATGCCTGCCCAGGGCTTGGTGGACCCGAGGGACACTGTGGGCATGGCACCTCTGGGCAGGGACTCCTGGGCAATCTGAGCTGCTGTACGCCCTGCTCTGGTCTCTGCCCGCCAGGCGAGCGCCGTGCGCGAGAGGAGCAGGCAGGGGAAGCACGCAGGCGGCATGTAGGAGAGGAGCGCGGACTGTGCAAGGGCAGGAGCGGGGCGGGGGCCAGGCAGGGGCAGGGGCAGGGGCAGGAGCGGGGAGCGGGCCAGGCAGGGATAGGAGCGGGTCGCCACAGGAGCGGGGCGCGGGTAAGAGCAAAGCCGGCCGGCAGAGGTAGGAGCAGGGCGCAGGCGGGAGCAGGGCGTGGTGCTGGGAAGGCCACCACTAACCTGAGTCCGCTCGCCTTTGCACGCACAGCCCCTCCTTTCACCAGGTGCACCTGCCTGCAGTCCCTGTGCTTTGCCCTTTTTGCTGCACAAAGACAGCAGGGAAGCCGTGCAGGATGCAAGATCTGAGACTGCTGGGGTTGTGACCCGAGGACTCTGAGAACACCACCCTCCCCGCCAACCGCCCATCCCTACCCCAGCTCCAGGCTCCCCCCACCAGAGCGCATCCCCAGCCATTTCTCCTGAGGCAGAGGCTCGGTGGAGCTCAGCCTCTGTGGGGCTAGAGGCCAGAGGAAGGGAAGATATGGGCAGGGAAGGGGGCAGGAGAGCGTTTGTCAGCATCCAGGGCAGTGCAGAGGGTGGGGGTCCTGGAGGCCAGGCCTGGGAAAAATGTAACCAGGTTTGGAAAAACAAGAATTAGGGAGGCGGGAGGCAGAGGCGTTGGTCAACAGGCACCAGGTGGCTGAGGCAGTCCAGAGGGGTGAGGGGCAGGCCTGTCAATGTCAGGCCCCGAGCTGGTAAGTTTCAACTCCCTACTGTTCTCTGGGAGGTTTCCGGAGAAACCAACTCCAGTGAGACAAATGTAACTTTCTTTAAGACTGGGAGGATCAATTTCTACATTTATTCAAAGAAGCAGTAAACATCTACAGGAGAATTTGGCTACTTTCCACCTCATTGGGGGAGTGGGGGGGGCCCTTCCCTCCTCTACACAGGAAAGCACGGGGTGTGGGACTAGGAGAGCCAGCATGGAGCCCCAGAGAATCCAGTTTTCCCCCGAAGAAATGATGCCCAGCATCACATTCACCTCTAAAAAGGGGAAGCCATGGACCTGTCAGGGGGGTCCTGGGGTGAGGTAGGAGGTGGGTTCTGGGCTTCTGTGGGGAAAGTCCCTGTTCTTTCCATATCCCCCAGCTGCCTCTTGAGGTCTGGCCTGCACCCAGCCACAGACAGATGGAGGAAGGGAAGCCCATGGGGCCATGGGGTGGGAGGGCCCAGGAAGCTGGGCCTGGGGTGCCCCGGGGCCAGCCCCTCCTCTTTCTCCTGCATCCTGGCTGAGCTCAGGGCTGAATCAGTGATCTGCACATCACTGCAGATCTGAAAAAGTGAAGTCACCCTGGCAGGCAGGAGGAGGAGTTGCCAAGACGGGCTGGCTCAGACTTGGCCAACCGCTATGTCCAGAGCCGGCCTGCTGAGGGGTAGGTGGTGTGGGCAGCCAGCCCACGAGAGGTACCCTAAACCACTGGACCCTCTGCTGCCTGCCACCCACCCCCGCCAGGCTTTACAGAGCTGGAGTTGTCTCCCTTGGGTGCATACAAGCCCCGTTTCTGTTGCTAGCAGCTACACAGTCTTCACACTCAGGCCTATGCCCAGGGAAGGGACATTGTAGGTAGGGAGGGGCTGAGGGGGACTTTTGGCAACAGACAAGCTCCTGTGACTGTCCCCTAGGAGAATGAAGAGAGAAGGGGGTGGGCCTGAATAGCACCCCCCCGCCCCCACCTCCCAGGAACCTCTCTGGCCACATCTTGGCTGCTGCACAGACTGGATGCCTGGCTCAGCTCTGTGACCACCTCAGGGCCCATCTGAGCCTGCACTCCTGCCTGGCATCCCAGGCACTTTTCCCTTCTCCCCATCCCCACCCTTGGAGGGCTTGAGTGGACACCTGACACCAGGGGGAGATATGGTCTTCTCCTGGGGAAAAGGTCTGGGGAGCCTCATGTGGGTGCACCCCTGTACACTTGCATACGTGCACACATGCATACACCTGTGTTCACATGTGTGGACACACATGCACACGGATGCACACCTTCCTCCACATGCACACCCAGGGACCTGACCAGAGGATCACCCAGTAGAGAACAGAGGTGAAGCCTGCGGCCTGATGGCCTCAGCAACTATAGGGAGAGGAGACAGCCCTGCCTGGGTGTGGGCTCAGGATCCAAAACATCAGGCAGCAAAAAGGAGCTCCTCGCCCGCACAAGGGAAATGGGGCCACCCCGAGGTCCCACAAGGAGAGGTGGAGGCAGAGTGGGTTGCAAGGCAGGCCAGGCCCTGGCCCTGGCTTCTCTCAGTTCCTCGGGTGAGGAGGGCCTGCAGGGGGCTCTGCCTCCCTTTCTTGCCTTCCCTTAGTCGACTCTCTCTGAGCCTCAGTTTCCCCAGCTGGAAACATCTCCATCTCAGAAGGAGGGGTTGTAAGAATTAAAGAGGAGAGAAACACGAAGGGTGGCTCAACAGTCAGCAGGTTTATTTCAAACCTGGGAGGGACTTCTGTCCAAGTCAAGTCAGAAGCCGCACTCCCCTACATGCTAAAAGTTTTTAAGGATTCAGGGTGGGAGAGTTTATCAGAGGCTTGCACTGCTCCTATGTCTCTTTGTTGTGCTTATCTGGGAGGGAGAATTGTGTGTCTGTTCCCATACATCTTGCTTCAGCCGCAGGCATACCTCCCCTCCCCCGAGTCTGCTTTAGCTTCCCTATCTTAGCGCATCTGAAGGGAAAGGACTGTGATTATTAAGGCCCACTGGTTTACTGGGGCCCATTGTATGAGGGTGAAGTTTGGTAGTTACTTGAGAGACTTTCCCCCCTCCCCCCACCTCCCTCTGTGCCCAAGCTGTCTTATCTTTTACTGCCTGCTCTTTCTGGCTGCTGCTTGTAGTTAGAAGTTAAGTGATATCCTTGAAATGCATGGGGCTAGAAAGGGAGCTGGAACTTAAAGTGGCGGTGTTTGTCTGAGATGACGGTGCTCCTGCTCTGTCACCCCTGCCTTTTCATGCCCAGGAACCCTGCCCTGCACCACCTCTGTCCTCTGCACTGCAGCAACTCTGCCCCTGACACTCAACACCACACCCTGCACCTCATCCTCAGTGCAGCAGCACCCCTGGCCCCGACACCCAGACCCAAAACTTGCACCCATAAGTGTTGTCCCTGACCTCCCATGGCCCCAAAGCCACATCTTCAGGTGCCCTCCCAGACAGTGGCACAGAACTCCCAGGCTGCAGGCTGGGTCTCAGCCCACTGCAGCCCCTCCAAGGGAGCCACCCCAGAAACCACAGGCTTTTAGGTTTTTAAAGACCAGGTGGCAAAAACGCAGGAGAGCAAAGCAACCTTGCCAAAGAGAGCCTCTGCACTCCTCTGCCAGCCAAAGCGGCAGAGCTGGAGGAGGAATGACGAAGGTAGAGCTCAAAAAGGAAACCAGGAATCGCCACACTGTCTTCCACAATGGTTGAACTAATTTACACTCCTACCAACAGTGTAAAAGCGTTCCTATTTCTCCACATCCTCAAGGATCTAGAAATAGAAATACAATTTGACCCAGCAATCCCATTACTGGGTATATACCCAAAGGATTATCAATCATTCTACTATAAAGACACAAGCACACATATGTTTATTGCGGCACTGTTCCACAATAGCAAAGACTTGGAACCAACCCAAATGTCCATCAATGATAGACTGGATAAAGAAAACGTGGCACATATACACTATGCAGCCATAAAAAAGGATGAGTTCCTGTCCTTTGCAGGGACATGGATGAAGCTGGGAAACATCATTCTCAGCAAACTAACACAGGAACAGAAAACCAAACACCACATGTTCTCACTCATAAGTGGGAGTTGAACAATGAGAATACATGGACACAGGGAGGGGAACATCACACACTGGGGCCTGTCGGGGGCTGGGGGGAGGGATAGCATTAGGAGAAATACCTAATGTTGATGACGGGTTGATGGGTGCAACAAACCACCGTGGCCCATGTATACCTGTTAACCAACCTGCACTTTCTGCACATGTACCCCAGAACTTAAAGCATAATAAAATAAAATTTTAAAAAAGGAAACCAGGACTGCACCGTCTCCTTCAAAAACAGCAGACCCGTGCCACTCGTGGCTTCCTGGGCTCCCCGCCCCTTCGCCCACACCTGCCCCGAAAGAGCTGCCCTGTTTGCTTCAGGACACCGGCTTTGGTGCTTGGGACAACCACGCTGGGAACTCCCACTGCGCTAGGTTCTGGGCACCAGCCCCGCTGCTCGCGGGCGCCTGCTCCTGTCAGAGACCTGCCCGCCGCCCGCCACCAGTGCGCTCCCAGCCGAGGCCAGGTGGCCAGTCACACGCAGCCCGCTGCCCAGCGCAAGCAGAAAGGTGCTTCTCAAAGCTCGGCTCCGCCGCTTGGCACTCTGGGCCACCTTTGCACTGGCCGATGCGGGCGCCTGCAGCCAGCAAGACTTACTTTTGTGAGCAGCCTCGGCGCACCGGATGTCGTCTTTGCCATCCCCAGTGGGCGCTGGGGCCGCGTCTGGAGAGACGGTGGCTCTGGCCGGCGGGGTGCGGCGCTAAGCCCGACCGCCCCATGCCTGCCCGGGTGAGGCCGACGTGGGCGTGGCACCTCGGGGCAGGGACTCCAGAGCACTCAGCGGCTGCGCGCCCTGCTCTGTCACTGTTGGGCCAGGCGGGTGCCGGCTGCTGGGGAGGAGCCGGAAGGGGCAGCGCAAGGCGGCGGGTGGGAGTGGGCACGGGCCGGGCTTAGCTAGGAGCGGGGCACGGATAGGAGTGGCGCACGCGTAGGAGCGGGGCGCGGGCAGGTACAGAACGCGGGCAGCAGGACGCGGAGGGGAGCGGGGCGCGGGCTGGCAGAGGTCAGAACAGGACGCGGTAGCAGCGGGGCTCCACTAAGCAGGGATAGGAGCGTGGGGCGGTGGCTGCCAGACAGGCGGGTGCTGGAAAGGCCACCAGTATCCTGGGTCAGCGCACCTCTGCAAGCACAGCCGCTCCTTTCAAACAGGTGCGCCCTTTCCACTGCACAGCGGGCAAGGAAACCAGGTGGGGATGCAAGATCTGGTACTGCTGGGGTTGCTGGGGTTGCGACCCAGAGGACTCTGAGAACAACACCCTCTCCCCAACCCCCCATCCCTACCCCAGCTCCAGGCTCCCCAGCAGCGCACCCCCGCAGCGCACCCCCAGCCATTTCTCAGAGGCAGAGGCACAGTGTAGCTGGGCCTCTGCATGGCCAAAGGTGGGAGGAGGGGAGGAGCTGGTTAGGGAGAGGGAAGGAGAGCCTTCGTCAGCATCCAGGGCAGTGCAGAGGGTGGGGGTCCTGGAGGCCTGGCCAAGAAGAAATGTAACCAGTTGTGGAAAAACAGGAGTTAGAGAGCAGGGAGGCAAAGGCGTTGGTCAACAGACACCAGGTGGCTGAGGCACTCCGGAGGGCTGAGGGGCAGGCCTCTCACTATCAGGCCCAGAGCTCTAGCTCGTAAGTTTCAGCTCCCTACTGTTCTCTGGGAGGTTTCCCAAGAAAACTCCACTGAGACAAATGTAACTTTCTTTAAGGCTGGGATGATCAATTTCTATGTTTATTCAAAGCCGCAGCAAACTTTTTCTATGGGAGAATTTGGCCACTTTCAGCCTCATGGGGGGGAGTGTGGAGGGGGTGGCCTTCCCCCTTCTACACAGGGGAAGTGGGATGTGGGACTGGCAGCCTAGGAGAGCCAGCAGCAGAGAGGAACTGGAGCCCCAAAGAATCCAATTTTCCCCCAAATAAATGATGCCCAGGATCACATTCACCTCTAATAACGGGAAGCCACTGGACCTGTGCTGGGGGGTCCTGGGGTGAGCCTACGACCCGGGGCTTATACCCAGCGCCTAGGACCCGGGGCTTACACCCAGAGCCTAGGACCCGGGGCTTACACCCACAGCCTAGGACCCGGGGCTTACACCCAGAGCCTAGGACCCGGGGCTTACACCCAGAGCCTAGGACCCGGGGCTTACACCCAGAGCCTAGGACTTGGGGCTTACACCCAGAGCCTAGGACCCGGGGCTTATACCCAGAGCCTAGGACCCGGGGCTTATACCCAGAGCCTAGGATTTGGGGCTTATACCCAGAGCCTAGGACTTGGGGCTTATACACAGAGCCAAGGACGTGGGGCTTATACCCAGAGCCTAGGAAACAAAGCTTATACCCAGAGCCTAGGATATGGAGCTTATACCCAAAGACTAAAACACAAGGCTTATACCCAGAGCCGAGGACACAAGGCTTATATCCAGAGTTTAGGACCTGGGTCTTATACACGGAGCCTAGGACATTGGGCTTGTACTCAGAGCCTAGGACATGTAGCTTATATCCAGAGCCTAGGAAACACAAGTCTTATACCCAGAAAAAACGTGAGGCTTATACCCAGAGCCTAGGACCCAGGGCTTATACACTACTTATATTCTACTTTTAGTAGAGACGGAGTTTCACCATGTTGGCCAGGCTGGTCTTGAACTCCTGACCTCACATGATCCACCCGCCTCGGCCTCCCAAATGCTGGGATTACAGGCATGAGCCACTGTGCCTGGCCTAGAACTGCAAAATTTAATTCAAGAAAATATAGGTCCTATGAAAGATTTAAGTTTTATAAAGCTAAAATCTAGTGTTTTCTGGTAAATTGCACTTTAGCCAAAACTCTCCCAATGCTTCTAAAATAATACTAAAAGGGGCATCTGGTAATACAGGAGCAATTTTTTTTTTTTTTTTTTTTTTTGAGATGGAGTCTCACTCTGTCGCCCAGGCTGGAGTGCAGTGGCATGATCTCAGCTCACTGCAACCTCTGCCACCCGGGTTTAAGTGATTCTTCTGCCTCAGCCTCCTGAGTAGCTGGGATTACAGGTGCCCACCACCATGGCCAACTAATCTTTGTATTTTTAGTAGAGACGAGGTTTCACCATGCTGGCCAGGCTGGTCTCAAACTCCTGACCTCAGGTGATCCACCAGCCTCAGCCTCCCAAAATGCTGGGATTACAGGCATGAGCCACTGTACCCAGCCATACAGTACAGAAGCAAGTTTAAAAATTAAATATTTATTTGAATAACAAGCTTACATTGGAGCTGCAATGTTGGCAATGCAGATTTTGAACACGGATCACAAAAAGCATGCATAAAATCCTACTGGCCCAGAGAACAAACCACTGCTCAGAATTAGGCTAAATAGCTGCTGCTTTTAAGAAAATAAAAGGCCTGAAATCAATATACAACATTTTTTAAAATGTATTGGCTGGGCGGGTGCCTGTAATTCCAGCACTTTGGGAGGCCAAGATAGGAGGATCACCTGAGGTCAGGAGTTCAAGACCAGCCTGGCCAACATGGTGAAACTCCGTCTCTACTAAAAATAAAAAATTAGCTGGGTGTGGTGACACATGCCTGTAGTCCCAGCTCAGCAATTAAAGGCTAACGTGAAAGCCAGAGGCCCTTCTGTTGGCGTTTAAAGAGGCTCTCATCTGCACCAGGAGGACGGAGAAAGCAGAAACCAGGCTCAGGATCCACAGAAGATGCAACTCCAACCAAGGCAGGTCTACTGTGCCAAGGCCAGGGCCCTGGTTAGAAGAGAGCGCAACCCTGTGGCCTGACACAGTGGCTCACGCTTGTAATCTCAGCACTTTGGGAGGCCGAGGTGGGTGGATCACGAGGTCAAGAGTTAGAAACCAGCCTGGCCAACGTGGTGAATCCCTGTATCTACTAAAAATATGAAAAACCAGCCTGGCCAACATGGTGAATCCCTGTCTCTATTAAAAATATGAAAATTAGCCAAGTGTGGTGGCATGCACCTGTAATCCCAGCTACTCAGGAGGCTGAGGCAGGAGAATCACTTGAATCCGGGAGGCGGAGGTTCCAGTGAGCTGAGATCGCACCACTGTACTCCAGCCTGGGTGACATAGCGACACTCTGTCCCCCTACCCCTTGCCAAAAAAAAAAAAAAAAGGAGAGAGAGAGAGAGTACAACTCTGACACACAGGCTGGGAACATTTAGGTTGAGGTCTCTACAAACGATGGACTCTCTATATCCCCACTGAGCCCTCTGAGCTGGCAGGAATGCCGCCCCTGCCGCTAAGGGCTGGCACTCCCTCCCTCCTTGCCTGGACACTGTGCAGAGGCCTCTCCCCAGCCAGACAACACGTCCCCGGCTCAGGCTCTGCCTTGTCTGTCCTCCTGGTCATTAGGCCAATGACTAGGATGAAGTCACAACAGCAACCAGCTGTGGGCATGTTGAGCCTGGTGAGGAAAGATGGGGCTATACCCCAAAGGAGCTGTAGGACCTACCCAGCACAGGTCTGCAGGAACATGGGACTGGAATCCAAGGGTGTCTGGTCAAGGAGGTCAGAAGGTAAGGTTAGATAAGGGAGTATTTATCAACTTGGGAGAACTCTCCCAGGATACAGGATTTAATACTCTCACCAGTGTCCCAGGAGATGGTGCAAACTCACTGCAGATGATTCCTAGAAACATGGGAAAAAGCAGCGGCCAGCATGAAGTGAGAACTGCTGGAGCAGACGGTAGGCCCTTGGCACTTAGGCTCAGAGAGGTGGGCCCACCAGAGGAGGTGTGCCATGTAAGGCTGGAACTCCCAGAGGCCTGTGCTGCACACAGGACCCAGATGATAACCCACTTACCAAGGCTGTTAGGAATGGATCACTTAGAAATTCAGTGATGGCTCCTCTCTGGGGACCAGGGCTGGCAGGAGGAATTGCCACTGTACAACCAGGCTTACTCACAGAAATGATCCCAAGGACCTTGGAAAACTAGAAGCCATCTACCTTAGTGCTGCTGTAACAAAATGCCATAGGCTGGGTGGCTTATAAAGAAATTCATTTCTAACAGTTCTGGAGGCCGGGAAGTCCAAGATCAAAGTAGATTTGGTGTCTGCTGAAGGCCCACTTTCTGGCTCATAGATGGTGCCTTCTCACTGTGTCCTCAGAGTGTAGAACAGGCAGGGCAGCATGCTGGGACATCTTTTCATTAGGGCACTAGTCCCATTCATGAGGCTCCACCTTCATGACCCAATCGCCTTCCAAAGGCCCCACCTCCTGATACCCTCACATTGGTGGTCAGGTTTCAACGTATGAATTTTGGGGAGACACCAACATTCAGACCATGGCACCATCAGAAGGCAGGAAGATGTCATTGTGGTGAGTGGTAGGGTAGAGAGGAGGCCAGGGGAGCCTGACCTACAGAGACCTGTGGAGTGAATAGAACTTGGCACCCCTAGGGGCCACATAGATATGGAGCCAACAAGGATACTACTGTATCTGCATAATCAAAAACAGCACGGATGGATGGCTGGGAAGCTAAGGACAGTCACCTTAATTTAAAAAAAAGTAAAAATCCCTTCCCCAATGTCCATCCCTGAGCAAGTTCTTGGACGTGGAAACTTGATTGACAGAAAGCCTATGTCCCCAGGAGGAAGAACCCCATGACTGCACACAGCGAGGATTCCTCCATTTCTTCCCAACGTTACTCAGGTAACTGTGTACTGGGGAAGGGGAAACCCAGAGCATTAGCATGGCCCCTCCTAAGGGAGCCAGGTGATAAATGGAGTTCTAGCTTAGGTCCAGCTCACCCACAGTCCAAGGTCCCACCCTCAGTGGTCTCCAAATGTATAACTGTAATTGACATACTTAGTAATTGACACAAGCCCTTTATCCTGTGAGGTAAGAGCTATCATAGTGGGGAAATCCAAGTGGAAGCCTCTGAAACTCCCCCTTCTGGCCAAGATAGCAAATAAAAAGCAGTATTACATCCCAGGGGATGGCAAAGATGAGTGCTGTTCTTAAAGATCTAAAAGATGCATGGATGATCATTCCTATTATAGTCCCATTTAATTCACCAGTCTGTTCCCCATGGAAACTACCAGAAGTGCAACAACTAGTAGCCCCATTGCAGCTTCCTTGCTAGGTGTGGTATTGCTGCTAGAGAAGATTAATATGAATTCAGGGAGCCAGGCGAAATGGCTCATGCCTACAGTCCCAGCATTTGGGAGGCTGAGGTTGGTGGATCATTTGAAGTCAGGAGTTTGAGACCAGCTTGGTCAACATGATAAACCCCATCTCTATTAAAAATAACAAAAACTGGCCAGGCATGGTGGCTCACGCCTGTAATCCCAGCTACTCAGGAGGCTGAGGCAGGAGAATCACTTCACCTGGGAGGCAAAGGTTGTGTGAGCCAAGATCACGCCCCACTGCACTCCAGCCTGGGTGACAGAGTGAGATTCCATCTCAAAAAAAATTGAATTCAGGTACATGTTATGAAGCCATTAATCTGGTGAATATGCTCATTTCCATCTCAATCAAGAAAGAGAATCAGAAAGAGTTCACATTCACATGGAAGGGACAACAGTATACATTCACAACTTTCATCAGAGCTCTGTCATGACCATCCAAAAAGATCTGGATCATCGGACATCCTGCAGAACATCACACTGATCCAGTACACTGATGTCATCATGCTGATCAGGCAGATAGACAAGCGGTACCTAGCATGCTGGAAGCCAAAGGGTGAGAGAGAAAACTACTGAAGATCGAGAGGCCACCACATTAGTAAAATTTCTAGGAATTCAATGGTCTGGTGAATACTGGGACATACCTACAAAGCAAAGATAAATTATTTAATCTTTTACCTCCCACCATGAAGAAGAAATCCTAACACCTGATAGGTAGATCTGGAGGCAACATATTTCATAGCTAGGAATACTGCTCCAACCCCATATGCCAATGCCATGAAAGGCTGCCAAGGCCCAGAGCAAGAAAGGATTCTGCAAAAGTGTCAGGCTGCTGGAGCCATCAACCCCATCCCTTGAGCCATACAGTACTCAGCAGACCCTATGGTGTCAGCCATGTGAGTGATAGGAAGAGATGCCAGTGAAGAATGCAAGCTCCAGTGGGAGAATCCCTTAGGATCTGGAGACTCCCTAAAATTTGGGAGTGAATTACAATTAGCAGCAAAGGATTATTCACCTTCTGAAAACAGGTCCTGGTGTGCCTGTGCTACTAGCCCTCATGTGACACACAACACCCAGACATGAGACACCGAGTGATCAGGCAGCTGGAACTGCCTGTCATGAGCTGGGTCTGCCAGACCCAATCAATCAATCTAACATGGTGGGGACATCCCGGGTCAAACATGAGCACGCCTTGAGGACACCAGCAAGCTACACGGCAGGTAGCCCAGACCCCACATCATCCCCACTGAGGCACCAGCAGCCTCAGCTCATTCGAATGGCCACATGGGGGACTCCCATGTCACCAGCTGAAGAGGATAAAACTGAGATTGGTTTGGCTTGGCATGTGGCAGATGACTACATTGGACCCTCTCCTGAAAGATCAGGAATAGAGACCAGTTCCAGATAGAGATTTGCCTTTCCTGCCCATGGATTCTCTGCTCAAGGGTCTATGAAGTGTTTGATTCACTGGCACAGGATGCCACATAACATCACTTCTGACTCAACAGCCCATCTTATAGCAATAACCCTGCAGGGGCGGGAGTGGGCTGGCCCATGACCAGGGATCCACTGTTAATACTGCACACCACATGACCCCAAAGCTGCTGGCCCGATGAAGACAGAGCTGCAATGCCAGTTCAGAAACAAGCCTTCACAAGGTTTCAGTACCATCCTCCAAGATGCAGTATCACTTCAAATCAAATACTATATATGGCACTGCATCCCCACTGGGCAGAATACACGGGTCTAGGAACCTAGGGGTAGAAGCTTAAGTGGCCCAGTGGCCCACTTAAAGAATTTGTGCTTTCTGTCCCTCAACTCTGGGTTCCGTAAGTTTAGAGGTCCTTGTTCCCAAAGAGAAAATACTTCTGCAAGGTGGCACAGCCAGAGTCCCTCAAAGTCGAAGCACAGTCGCCTCCTTGGCACTCTGGGTTTCTTGTCCTTGCATCAAGGGGCCAGCGGTAAGAAGAGGAGTCGCATCCTGGCATCCAGAAGCGGTTGCATATGGGGTCTGGGAGGAATATGTTTGACATCCAGGCGATGCCCTTGGGTGCTTCTTGGTACTCCCTTGCCCAATTTTGATGTTAAGTTGACAAGTGTAGCAACCCTGGCCTGAAAATAGCATGGTGACCAGGGTCTCAGTTCCCTCAGGTAATCAGGAGACCAACAGAGATGTCGTCTGAGAGTGAGGTGGTCTATAATGGGTAGTGGAGTGGGCAGGTGAGGATGTCAGTTGCAGCCCTGAGACCCCAAAACTTCAGAGGTAGGGGTTGGAGTTCATCCCAGTAATTTTCCTCTTCAAGTTGCCTCCTAGAAGAGCTTCTCGCAGAACTTACATGAAGTGGATCCAAGAGGTGACTGTGAAGGACTCTGTAAGGTGCCACCCAGGTCCCTCTGCAGGAATAAAGGACTTATTACCCCAGCTGCTGGGAGTACTGCCTGCAGAAAGTTGACAGCCCTCATGCTCCATTCCCAGGGAGGCCTACATCCAATGACCCAATGTGGGGTCCCTGGCACCAATGTGGGGTGCCAAGTACCCGAACTTTTGCTTTGACTCGGGACAGTCCTGAGGGGTCATCCCATCCTCAGGCCAGCTGAGGCTTCTGCTGAGATAGCATCATAGGTCAGCCTCCCCCTTTGCCCAGCCTGCTCCTCCCCGCTCCCTTCCAATGGTATTGACTTCAGGAGCACTGGCCAATGAGCCCCAACACACTTCATCTCAGAGACCTGCCCAAGCTCATACTTAGACCTGAAGTGGCAGAAACAAACCTCAGACTCACTGTGGCTGTCCAAAGCCCAGAGATTGGAAAGGTTAGCACGTGCAGGACTCAGAAGTGAGAAACAGAGCAGATACCTTGGATGCAATGAAGATTTGAACTCCATACAAGGAATGATAGTCTAATTACCTTAGGCTGCTTGTGATGTTGCTCAGTTTCTGCTCACAGGATGGGGAAGGGGAGATATTCCAGAAGAACAGAGCAGCCCCCTCACCCATCTCAGGCTTGGGGGTCATTCAGATCTGAGAATGTCAGAGCTTTCACTTCCTAGCTGTGGGGCCTTGAGCAAACCGCTCCACCTCCCTGAGCCTCAGTTTCCCCCACTCCAAACTGGAGCCAATAAGATGCACCTGTGATTCTTGCGTAGATCACATTTGCAGGGCTCCTCGTGCACAGAAATCTCTCGGTAAATGTGGCCATTATTATTCAAGAGCCGAGGAGCTAATTAGCTTCACTGCTGATGCAACAGGAATTCACAGTGCGGGGACTGGCCTGCCGAAGGGAGGACGAGGCTGGAACATCTCATTTTGACAAATGGCTTTTGTTTACCCACGACTGGCAAACAAACGCTCCACGACGTGCGGCTAATCACCTAAAAATAACAGCACATATGTTCCCTCTGAGGAGTGTTCCTTGCTAACAAGCACAGCGGCCGTGGGCTGCTGGGGGTGGGGTGGGGACACCCTGCACTCCTCTGAGGCAAATTCAAAAGCCTCTCTCTCTGCCCCCAGCCGTCCTCCTGCACCCCACATCCATCCTGCTGCCCAGCCCTGTCCGCAGCGCCACACACAAACCACCCTCCCTTGTGTCTCCCTGCACCACCCCCCACCAAGTCCCCGGCTGCTGTGCTGGGGCAGGGCTGGTGCCACAGTCCCCTTTCTGCCCTCCTGGCCTTGCTCCATCCCCTCCACCCTGCCCCGGAGGCACCCTTCTAAAACACACACATCTGACTAGTCACTCCCCTTCTTGGAACTCCTCATGGCTCTCTCTGCCTCCAGGCCATGCCGGTCTCATTTCCCACACTACATGGGCCTGACTATCAGTGTGCACCAGGGCCTTCCAGCCTCCAGGCCTCTGCAGATGTTGGAGTAGGGCTGCTTCTCTACCTACACACCTCCTCTGCCCTCGGGCAGGTGCTCAGCTCTAAATGACATCCAAGCTGATGACGAATGAATGAGTTCTCTCTGAACTCCTGCCCACTGCATGTCTCCTCCTGGTTGTCCAGTGGGCATCTCTGAACCGTGTCCAAAAGCACACGCGAACACACACACACAATCCTCCTGCAATCTTATCGGTTGCTCAGGCCAAAAGCCTTGGAGTCCTCCATGTCCCCCACCTGCCATCCCACAACCAACCCATTAGCAAATGGGGTCAGCTGTCTTCAAAACACATGCAGACTCCCCTCAGCACCTGCACACTGCCTCCTGGAGCCTCCATCCCACCTCTCACCTCCAGCGGCTCCCCCCCTTGCCAGCCACAGTCCGCTCACGCCCCAGGACCCTTTAAAACTGGTCACGCCCCGTCTCTCCTGCACCCCAAAGCTTCCAGTGACTTCCATCTCAGAGTAAAGCCAAAGTCTTGTAGAGGCCACAGCTAGGGTGGCCAGATTTCACAAACAAAAAGGCAGGATGCCCGTTAGGTTTGAATTTCAAGGACATGTTAAGTGAAATAAGCCAGACACAGAAAAACAAATACCACGTGATCTCACATGGACAGGCGAACTCTGAAAAAGCCAAATTCATTGAAGCAGAAAGTAGAATGGTGGTTACCAGAGGCTGGCGGACAGGGAGTGAGAATTGGGGAGCTGTGGGTCAAAGGACACAAAGTTCCAGTTAGGGAGAATAAGTGAAAGAGCCCCATGGTACGTCGTGGCAGCATAGCTAATGACAGTGTACTGCATTCTTGAAAATCGCTAAGAGTAGATTTTAAGTGTTCTCACCACAGGAAAAAAAAAAACAAGGTGGAAAGTAATGCATATGTTAATTAGCTCAATTTAGTCATCCCATAAATGTATACATATTCCAAAACATCATATTGTAGGCCATAAGAATATGCAATTTTTATTGGTCAATTAAAACAATGTTTTAAAAAGAAGAAAGGGATATTAGGAACTAAAAATCTTTTTTTGAATTTCAGAGAAAGGCAAACTTGCGTGGGACACACTTATACTAAAAAATTATTTGCTGTTTATCTGAAATTCCAGTGTAACTGGGCATCCTGTAATTTTCCAGCAGCCAGACCTACAAAGCCTGAGATGACCGGGTACACCCCCGCACCCCATCGTACCTCACGCCCCCCACCTCCCCTGCAGCTTGGGTGTCCTGCTTTTCCCGGAGCCCAGAGAGAGTTCCTCCACTTCAGGAATGCGTCCCGCCATCCCCTCTGCTCCTGGTATCCCTGTGGGCCACTCCCCTGGCCCCTGCAGATCTCTGCCCAGATGGCGTCTCTCGCCGAGGCCTGTCCTGACCAGCCGGTATGAAACAGCAGCTCTGCCACTGCCCCCTCACTGCTCGGTGGCTTCTATGACCTTCCACCAGAAAGCCGTCTCCTTGAAGGCAGAGTTTCATCTCTGCCGTCCACAGCTGTGTCCCCACACTGAGGACAGTGCCTGGCATGTAGTAGTTAGTCAATAAATATTTTTCAAATAAATGATGTCCCTACTGCCCCACCCCAGGCCACCGGCAAACTCCTTAAACCACAAGGACAGCTTTGTGGCCTCTCCTCTGCAAAGCTCTCCCTGACCACACGCGTGTCCTCCAGGCAGGAAGAGCCTCCTCACTAGCCGAAGAGTCCCTCCGAGGTAGCGATGGTGTCCCATCCACCTTTCTATCCCCAGTGCCACATCGATGCCAATGTGAGAGGTGCTCGGTACACGTGTGAGTGGATGACTCAATGAATGAATATCTGAGTGAGTGAAGAAATGACGAGCATAGGAACCAAGCAAAACTCTATCTCTAAGGCTCCCTGCGGGAGCTGGTTTGATTCCTGTTGCCCCTAAAGGAAGACTTTTGATATTTATCCCCACTCGGTAAAGAACAATGAAGAAGGAGGAGATGGTGAAGATGCCCTTCGCTCCCCTCTAGTCCACATTCTACAAAATGTGTCCACCTCATTCCATGATCCTCTCACCAGCCTGAGAGGCAGCTATCATCACCCCATAGTTGAGATGAAGAAACACAGAGGCCCAAAGACAGGAAGCGAGTTGCTGGAGCCACAGGGAGAGGGGAGAGGAGATGCAGCTGGGACCCGGCCCCAGCCCATCCAGCCCTGAAGGCCTCCATGCCCCGCTGCCTCTCCAGCCTGCCCAGGGTTTCGGTGACTCAGTGACCCATGCAGGCCCCCCAAGCAGGGAGGAGGGAGAAGTCAGGTTGCACAAGAGGACAGGGACCCTGCCCAAGGCAGAGCTGCTTTGCCCCCTCTTCCCCTCAGGCATCCCGGGGACCCGGCCTGGTTGTCCACCCACATATGCACGGCTCTCTCTGTCTTGGACCACGGTACCATCACCCACACCAGCTTCTGAGCCAGCCCTCCATAGGCGTCTGCCCTGAATCATTGCATTTGTCTCAGAAGATTTTTGATATTAATGTCATTCTGCACTAATGAGTCCAGCCCACTTGGTCCCAGCTGGAGCTTCCATTGTCTGCTGATTAATTGGTACAGAACTCTGGGGGGTAGCAGGGGGAGGTGGGGGAAGAGAAAGGGAGAGAAGAGCCATTTCCAGAGCAGAAATAGGTTTCCTCTGCTCACCAGTGACTATTCTCCTTATCCTGAAGCCTTCAGCTAGGTATGGGGCAGAAACTAGAGGGCCACTCCCTCCTCAGCCACTTAACTGTCCCGCTTCAGGAAAAGTGAGACCCATGGATACTGTCCCAGCGTACGAAGGTAGGTCTGGAGGAAAGCACAAGTTAAGAACTGGTAGACTTGAGCCAGTGCAGTGGCTCACGCCTGTAATCCTAGCACTTCGGGAGGCCCAGGCATGTGGATCACTTGAGGTCAGGATTTTGAGACCAGCCTGGCCAACATGGTGAAACACCATCTCTACTAAAAATACAAAAACTAGCCGGTGTCATGGTGCATGCCTGTAGTCCCAGCTACTCGGGAGGCTGAGGCAGGAGAACTGCTTGAACCCAGGAGGTGGAGGTTGCAGTGAGCCGAGATTGCGCTGCTGCACTCTAGCCTGGGTGACAGAGTGAGACTCCATCTCAATTGGTAGACTTGGATTCCGACTCATCCCAGCTCTGCTCGCTGTTGCCCTGGGCAAGTTGCTGGCCTCCCCAAGCCTCATTTTCCATCTGCAAAATGGGGGACAAAAGTCCCACCAAAGCACAGAGATGAAAGCTCTTGGATTTGACAACTTGGCTTTCAACTCCATATCTTCCATTTAGTGGGGCTGCGTGGCCTTGGGCAAGCTGCCTAACCTCATGTGCAAAATGGAAATATTAACAGCACCCACCTGATGGGGCTGCAGTGAGGACTGAAGGAGAAATGAGGAAGGTGCAGTGCTTGGCCTGGCGCTTAGCAGGATCAGTAAATAGAGGCTATTGTTACCACGTCTGGAAATAGCCACCTGATTAAACAAAGCCTGTGACTCTACTTGGTGGAATATTATGCAGGCACCAAAAAGGATACACAGTAGATGGTGCAGCCCAGGAAATGCCTATGTCCAAATGCCTTCTTCACTAGATCTCTTCAAGGGAATAATTATCTCCATTGACAGAAGGGATAGCTGAGGCTCACAGAAGGGGCCTGAATGGTCCCAGGTCACAGAGCAAGTAAATAGCTGAGCTGGGAATTGAACACAGGGAAAACCTGTCTCGAAATGCAGACTCCATCCTCTTTGTCACAATTCCTGCACATCATATTTTAGAAATTGATTTGCTCAAGTCAGGAGCCTGCAGGCATTTCATTTTGGTTTCTGTCCAGGTGATCATGATGTTTTTTGCCATTGATAATTATTTTTTAAGGCAGATAATAATGTTGACCTGCACTCCCCACCTGGCTGATGTGCAGAGCAAAGGAGCTCAAAGCTGTGTGTGGGATCTGGCAACAGGACAGAGCATGTGAGCAACAGTTAACATCATTCCAGGACTGGGGTGGCTTAGCTTAATACTACACAGTCATTCATTCATTTATTCTACAAGCATTTATTGAGCCTAAAGGTACATGTTCTGGGCTCAGAGGACACAGCAGGGAACCAGAGAAATGACATATTCCTGCCTTCTTAGAGCTGACATCCCTGGGGAAAAGACATACACTAGACAAGTAAACAGACACAAATACTAGAGAGGAAAATAAAGCAGGATCAGGGCATGGGGGCATGGGGTGACGCTCCTTTGTTCATGGTGTCATGGAAGGCCTCTCTGGTAAGGTGCCATAGGAGGCTAAGGTTCAAACAAAGAAAGGAGATAAACCATGATATCCAAGGGAAAAGCATCTGGGCAGAGAAACAGCAAGTGCAAAGGCCCTTAGTCTGTTGGGGCTGCTCTAACAAAATACCATAAAATGGGAAGCTTATAAACAAGTAATTGACTTCTAACCATTCTGGAAGCTGCTAAGTCCAAGATCAGGGCACCAGCAGATTCGGTGTCTAATGACAGACAGCTTGCTTTCTGGTTCCCAGATGGCACTTTCTCACCATGTCCCCACACAGTGGAAAGGACAAGGTGGGCCTCTTTGATGAGGGCACTAATTCCATTTGTGAGGGCTCCACCCTCATGACCTACTCACCTCCCAAAGGCCCCCTTCCTAATACCCTCACACTGGGGATTAGGTTTCAACATAGATTCAGAAGGACACAGTTGGACCACAGCAGGCCCTGAGGCTGAATTATACCTGTGAAGTTCAGGAAACAGCAAGCAGGCCAGTGTGGCTGCAGCGAGTAGGGGAAGGAGGTGGGGAAGGGGTGTGGTGGGCAGCAGATGCTACAGGGCCTCACAGGCCACTGTAGGAACTTCAGAATTTACCATTCAGCATGAAGGATCTGGCTTGTCATTCTCTCATTGGTTGTATTATTTGCATTTTCTTTACCCAACAATTTCCCATTTCTGACCAGATAAAATCTGAACTCCCAGATGTGGCATTCAAAGGCTTTCAGAGTAAGGGGAGGACAGGGAGGTGCTCAGTACCCCACCTCACTTTCCAGCCTCCTGTCCTGCCGCTCCCCACCACACATCGTCACCGCCCCCCTCCCCTCACTACCCTCTGTCACACCTCTGTGCCTTTGTCCATGCAGGGCTCTCTGCCTGCCTTCATTCAGGCTGACACTCAAATACTTGAGGAGCACCTCCCGAGTGCCAGGCCCTAACGGAGGGGCTGGAGAAATAGTGGTGAGCAAAACTGTCCCCGTCTCTGCTCATCTGGCATCTAGCAGAGAACAGCAACACTAACCTGGTAGGTGGGGAACTGTGGGCCGCGGCAACGGCCACTCTGGAGTGAGGGTAGACAGGGAGGCCCTGAAGAGGGAGTGTGGAAGCTGAGACACAAGAACGAGCAGCAGTCAGCCCAGCAAAGAGGTGGGAAGAATGACTAGCCCCCTTGAACAGCACAGCAGAGGGAGGAGGGAGGGAGACAGAGGGCAGAGCTCGCCTCACCTGAGCCAGGCCGGGAAGGGAGCTCAGCAAATAGGCAGCGCCCGCCAGGCTCAGCGGCAGGTAAACAGGACTCTGTGCCACACCTGCTGCCCCCTCACCGCCCGCAGCCGCACAGGGATCAATATTTGCCTACAGACCTGTCTTGCCTGATGAGTGTTTGGGCATCCGCCAGGCAGGCCTGGCTGGAGGGGAGCTGGCAAGAAGCAGGACAGTCCTGGGGGATTCCAGCGCCTCACTGCCTGTAGCCCTGAGATGTGGGACCCAGACCAAGAAGAACCACAGCCAGGAGCCATGGGCAGGGCATCACCAAAGTCCTTCACTACTGCTCCAGCGGGGTTAGGAAGGCCTGATGCCAGGAAACCAAGGATAGAGTGACCCCAAAAAGGGCAGCCCACCTCCACACCTGACCACAGCTGCCGACCGCAGAGCAGCCGCTGCGTGTGTCCCCCACCCTTTCTCACTCACTTCTCCTCCTTCTTCTAAATACACTAAATGCATGCCGGGAATAAATTAATTCTGTATCAGATAGTTGAGAGACCTGCAGAATTATACATCTCCACCTTGTGCCTTCTGAATTTTTGTGCATTATTGGGTATTCAAATGAGTAAACAAATAGTAAGGTGCTTATTTTCATAATTTTAAAAAATCAAATTGTAAAGATTAATTCATTGAAAACAGAAGTCCCCTGACCCCCTAATTCTACTTCACAACTTATCTTCATCTTAACTCTGGTAAGATTTCATTTTCAGCATAAATAGCATCATATCACACATCCGGTTCTCCCCTAACGACATGGTATACCCTGGGCACCTTTCCACCCCCACACATCTGGGGCTACCTCATTCTTTTTTGCAGCTAAAATATCTTCCATGTCTTGGATGTACTGGGGTTCGTGTAGACCCATTTTGGTGGGCATTTGTTTCCAGTTTTGTTTTGTTTTCTTTGTTTTGGTTTTGGTTTTTGCTATTAAAAATAATTCTCTACTGGACAGTCTTTTACTTGCATCTCTGCGTATTTGTTGGAGTTTCTTTGTAGAATACATTCTAAACTGGAGGGCAAATGGCTTGTACACTGTTTACATTTCACAGACATTGCCACAGTGCCCTCCAAAGAGGCTGTGCCCCTTCCCCTCCTACTGCCTCAGCCCAGGAAAGAGACTATTTCCCTGCCCTCAGCTGTCAGGAAACCTTTAGCTCTTTGACAAACTCATGAGTGAAAGATGATAGCTGTTTTATTTGTATTTCTTAATTATTAGTGAAGTTGGTATCTTTTAGGGCTAAGTCATTTGCATTTTTTGATGAATCGCCTCATTATACACTTTACACCGTTTCTTTAAAGGGGTATTCTTTCCTTATTTCATTTCAGCGATGTTTTCGTACCTACTCTGTAGTGGTTTACCACCCCCTTGTGAAACAGGATAGAGTGTGTCTGCACGGAAGCAGGGGGCAGAAGCAAACAAGAGTTCCTGTGTGGGGCATTCCCAACACAAAAGAGAGGTCATCAAGCCTTGAATCTGGTGAGACTTGAAGCATCTGATTACAAATGGACTGAGCCTCCATTTCCTTATCAGTAAAACAGAAAAATACAGTAATTCCTGTCCCTTGGTGAAAAAAAGCACAAAACCGTATGTGTAAGTCAGAATACCAATCAAAACTGACATAAACCAAAAGGGAACTTATTGGTTCATGTAACTAAAAGTTCCAACTTCAGGCATGGCTGGATCCAGGTGCTCAAACACCATCAAGCATCGTCGGGCTCTCTCCACATTTCAGCTCTGCTTTCCTCTGTGTTAGCTGCATTCTCAACCTAGAGATACTGAGATAGCACCCAGGAGCTCCAGACTTATATCCTATTGATTCAACTATCCACGGAGAGCAGCTCCAGCAAAAATCCAGGGATTCGCTGTGATTGGTCTGGACTGGGTCATGCATCCATCCTCAAGCTAATCACTGAGGCTTGGGTGATAGACGATATAGATTCACCAGGCCTGGAGCTGAGGGATGAGAATGAGTCCCATATGAAGCATGTGGCCTGAGCAGGAAGATGAGGAAATTCAGCTGCTGTTACCAAAAGAAAGGACAGGATAAAACTACAGATGTCCCTCTGCGAGATTTTAGCCCTGCCTCAGCTATGTGACCCTGGACAAATTATTTCTCCTCTCCAGCCCTTGAGTTCCCTACCTGTAAGATTCTGACTTCAAACTCAATTGCTGATTTTGATACCTTTTGTAGCAGAAAACTTTTTTACTTTTCAATAAACAATACATGGAACCCAAAACATAGAACAGATAAGAGCTGTGTTTTATTAGAAATGTTACTTGTGTTTAATTTTTATTTTACTTTATGCTCTGGGATACATGTGCAGAACGTGCAGGTTTGTTACATAGGTATACATGTGTCATGGTGGTTTGCTACACCTACCAACCCATCATCTAGGTTTTAAGCCCCGCATGCATTAGGTATTTGTCCTAATGCTATCCCTCCCCTGGCCCCTCACCCCCCAACAGGCCCCGGTGTGTGATGTTCCCCTCCCTGTGTCCATGTGTCCTCATTGCTCAACTCCCACTTATGAGTGAGAACATGCGGTGCTTGGTTTTCTGTGCCTGTGTTAGTTTGCTGAGGATGATGGTTTCCAGCTCTATCCATGTCCCTGCAAAGGACATGAACTCATTTTTTATGGCTGCACAGTATTCCATGGTGTGTATGTGCCACATTTTCTTTATCCAATCCATCATTGATGGGCATTTGGGTTGGTTCCAAGTCTTTGCTACTGTAAATAGTGCTGCAATAAACATACCTGTGCATGTGTCTTTATAGTAGAATGCTTTATCATCCTTTGGGTATATACCCAGTAATGGGATTGCTGGGTCAAATGGTATTTCTGGTTCTAGATCCTTGAGGAATCACCATACTGTCTTCCACAATGGTTGTACTAATTTACACTCCCACCAATAGCGTAAAAGTGTTCCTATTTCTCCAAAGCCTCGCCAGCATCTGTTGTTTCCTGACTTTTTAATAACCTCCTTCCTAACTGGCGTGAGATGGTATCTCATTGTGGTTTTGATTTGCAAGAAATGTTATTTGTTTGATCCAGTATTAGTCAGGATAGACCAGAATCTGCTGTAATAAATAAACCCCAATATCTCAGTGGCTTAACACACAAAGGTTTGCTTCTTGCTCCTGTCACTGTTCGGTGCAGGTCAGGGAACTCTTCTTAACAGATCTTCTCCACCCCTCAACCAGTGGTCCAGAGACCCACCCTCCCACCATCTGTGGTTCTGCCATGATACAGCTCTGGCCTCTGTGTAAGGGGAAGAAGCCACAAACTCCATGCCTGCCCACATCCCAGGGGCCCTCAGCATCCAGTCACAGGCCTCTATTCAAAGGCAAGAAACTCTGGGAAATGTAATCTTCCTCTACTGGAAAAGGAAAATGACACTGTATGTTCTATAACATTTACTTATTATAAGGTCAGTCATTGAGAACAATGAGGTTGTTTTGATAGATCAAAAAGAATAAGAAATTCCGCTGGGCGTGGTGGCTCACGCCTGTAATCGCAAAACTCTGGGAGGCCGAGGCGGGTGGGTCGCTTGAGGTCAGGAGTTTGAGACCAGCCTGGCCAACATGGTGAAACCCCGTCTCTACCGAACATACAAAAATTAGCTGGGCGTGGTGGCGGGCACCTGTAATCCCAGCTACTCGGGAGGCTGAGGCAGGAGAATGGCGTGAACCATTGCACACCAGGCTGGGTGACAGAACGAGACTCTGTCTGAAAAAACAAACAAACAAACAAACAAAGAAATTAGATATCATGGATGACAGATTTAGTCATGTCTCAACCTCAGCACTGACTTTAAGCTTCAAAACTTTTAAACATTTAAAGTTGCAAATATATTAAGAAAATCCCAGGTCAACAAGTAATAGGAGTTGAAAATCCTAGCAGTATTTAGAACCTTGCTTTGCTTGCAATTTTTAGGGTCCTCTTTACTTGTACAGAGATAGCAGGACAAACTTCAGTGTCAAACTTACTGACAACTGAGTTAATGGCAGAAGAAACTGTGCTGGCCATCTCCAGATGCTAACATTTAGTATGCAATATATCCAAGGGTTTTTGTTCTGTTTATTACAATGCTCAAATCCATATTTCAAATGTGAAGCTCAAATACAGTGTTTGCGGAGGGCTCTGTTCTGGAGCGCACAGTGCCAGAGGACCTTTGGGTTTCATAATGCATATGCATCTAAGCAGAGAATGGCTGGGTGTCCTCAGGCAAGACGTTTCCCCTCATTAGGCCTTGGTCTTTTCATCTATAATAGGGAAGGCTCAGCAAACCCAAGGGCCTCGACCAGAAAACAAATAAACAAACAGACCACACACAAACACACAAAGATCCTTTGCTTTGGGTGAAGGCATCTGCCACGTTGTGACAATGCTCAGGTAGACTAGATCGGGCAATGGAGAAAGAACCTCAGGCTTCCAGACATCAGCCACTGAACAAGCCTGGAGATGTCTGCTTCAGCTGGAAGCTTTATTGCAACCTCATGAGAGACTCTGAGCCAGAACCATCCAGCTAAGCTGCTTTCAGATTTCTAACCATCGAGCACTGTGAGATAAAAATATTTGTGGTGTTAAATGCTATGTTTTGGAGTATTTTGTTACCCAGCAGCAGATAACTAATACAGATGATAAAGGGAATGATTTCATCTTCTTAGGTGTGATACTGGTGGTGTGATTATGCAGGAGACTGTCCTTATTTTTAGGAGTTTCAGGCCAATGTGTTTAGTGATTTAGTGGTGATACCCATGCACACCTGTGACTCACTTGGATTACCTACAACTTAACCTACAAAGGCCATTAGCATGAAACTGCTGTTTTTATAGATCAAAAATGGCCAAATATAAGCAATTTTGCATGCAATATAAACTAATATATGAGAACTGATAGTCTATGGCCCTTTTCTAGCCCATATACATGTCTGTTTGCTTTTTTAATGTGTTTCGTTTTAATCTTACAAATTGAGACGTCGCACATAGAAAACAGATTTCTGGTCTCTCTTTAGAAAAAAATACCTTTAAAGGAAGACATAGACATAGGGGGAAATCTTTGTGATCATAGATTAGGCAGAGTTTTTTTTTAGCTATAACACTAGAAGAATGACCCATGAAAGAAAAAGTTGATAAATTCGACTTCGTCAAAATCCTGCTCTTCAAAAGATGTTGCTAAGAGAAGGAAATCAAAACCCACAGACTTGAGAGAACATATTTGCAAACTGTCTATCAGATTTTTAAAACTCTTATACCCAGACTATACGAAGAAGCTTCAAGTCACAAAAGACTACAGATTACATGATTGCATTTTATGAGACATCCAGAATAGGCTAATCCATGGAGAGACAGAAATAAGTAGTTTCTTAGGGCAGAAGTGGAGGGGTTATTATGGGGCTTGGGTAATGCCTAAAAGAATGGGGTTTCTTTTTGAGGTAATCAATATGCTTTAAAATGGACAGTGGTGATGACGGTACAACTCTGTGAATACACTAAAATACGCAGCCCCAGCCCTGAAGCATGCCCCACCCCACTGACCCCTTCATTTCCCTCCGTACCACTTACCACCATGTCACAAATATCTGCTTGCTTGTTGTCTTTATCCTCCCACAGAATATAATAATGACAGGGCTGGGCACGGTGGCTCATGCCTGTAATCCCAGCACTTTGGGAGGCTGAGGTGGGCAGATCACCTGAGGTTGGGAGTTTGAGACCAGCCTGACCAACACGGAGAAACCCCATCTCTACTAAAAATACAAAATTAGCTGGGTGTGGCGGCCCATGCCTGTAATCCCAGCTACTCAGGAGGCTGAGGCAGAAGAATCACTGGAACCCAGGAGGCGGAGGTTGTGATGAGTCGAGATCGCATCATAGCACTTTCCAGCCTGGGCAACAAGAGCAAAACTCCATCTCAAAAAAAAAAGAATAATGACAGCAGAGACACTGTTTAATTCATTGCTGTGTCCGAAGCACCTAGAATGGTGTCTGAATCAGAGCCAGGAGCTCAATAAAGCATTTGTGAAATAAATGAATCCTTTTTTTTTTTGTTTTTTTAAAGAGGCGGGGTCTCGTTCTATCACCCAGGCTGGAGTGCAGTGGCACAATCACAGCTCACTGCAGCCTTGCCTCCTGGGCTCAAGCCATCCTCCCACCTCAGCCTTCCAAGCAGCTGGGACTAAAAGTGTGTGCCACCACGCCTGGCTGAATCCCTATTTTATAGATGAGGAAACAAGGTCTCACAGCTAGTACGATCTGGGTTTTATATGAGTTTGACTTTAAAGAACGTTCTCTTAACCAGAGTCTGGCACAGGGGGCCTCAGAGAACAGGCTTTGGAATCAGAATAGCCTTGGCTTAAATTAGTGGCTCTTAATCTTTGAGAATCACTGACCCCTTGGAGAATCCTTTGAAAGTTTTAAGCTCCTTACCCTGGGAAATGGATACAAGTACAAACATAAAACATTTTGCAGATGATTTCAGGAGCGCATGGACATTTTTGTACCTTCCTGAGTGTCTTGGGTTTGTGTCTTTGAATAGTCATTTCATCCCTCTGAGCCTCAGTTAATGCTATAAAGTGAGGATAAGATTGACCTTACATGGTTGCCTGGGAGATCCAATGAGATCAGTACGAACATTAGGGGTTCAAATATTGTCAGGCCCCAATTCCCCTTCCCTACCTGAGCCTGGGTCCCAGGCTGGCCTCTCCCTTTTCCCAGCTTGTATGACTCTCAGACCCTTATTTTCTATCAGCCTTAGTGCCCCCTGCCCAGGAAAATAGGATTATTGCTCATTTAATGGAATAACTCAAATGAGATAGGGGAAGCCCTCAGGAAACATGAAAGCCCTAGAAACGTTTCCCAAGACATTCGCTCTGCCTGCTGCAAATTGTTTTACTTTTTCAATTTCAGCTACAAAAAGCGTTCTGCAGGTCCACGCCTAAGGAGCTCAAGGATAATGTGGGTCAAATCCCATTTCACTAAATCCTATTATAGTGCCCCTTTTCCATGGAAGGCTGCTCTCCTGGATCGCAGCCTCCCAGGGAGGACCGACTGACTTGCCTTTGTCCCCAGCCACCCTAGCACAGAGCCTGGCACCATGGGAGCTTTGCTGCCAAAACTGTCACCTGCAGCCAAAAACTTTGTGTAGTCCCCACGATTTCTGTTTCAATTAAATGCCAACATTTAACAATCAGGAGAGTTCATAAACAAATTGAGGCTTTTGGCTCCTCTTGGAAAATCAGATCTATATCCCGAGCTCAAGTTCTCACGTGTTGGAAGAGCTGGAACTGCAGCTGCCCCCATCCTTTTCAATGGCAACTAGCATGTGGCCTCTAGCCCCCACAGTCCCCACAGTAGTATTTATGTCCATCTCCAGGCTGGAATCAATAGGCATGGGAGTCAGCTTCTGTATTTTATATCCTTAGAATGCTACATGAAACCCGTTCGCAAGCAGCAGCATCTTCTTTAGCCCATAAGAAACCTCTGTGAGTTACGTACTATCAACTCACATCATAGTTGAAAAAACTAAGGCTCCAAGAGGCAAAGAAACTCATCCAAGAGCACAAAGTTAGTAAGACACAAATTCATGGCTCAATCATAAATTCCTGTTACCTGGAGAGAGATTAACACCTCTAATAAGTGGCTTCCATTTATTTAAAGTGATATTCACTGCAACTACACTCTGGTGCAAAGACTTTGAGGCAAGCAGATCTTGTTCCAAATCTGGATTCTGCCATGTACTGACATTGAGACTTGACCTTATCCATTTCTGCATCTCTAAAATGGAGCCTCAAATTCCTTCCTCACAGGGCTACTTACTAATCCTTTGTAGATCTTAGTAAGTGAATCTGGAAACTGCTACCCTGACCCAAGAATGAGGGCCACCCCATGGAGTTCATCAAAATGAGAGTCAACATGTGGGTTTTGTTTGGTTTGGGACAAAACCAAAGGACAGTGATCTCTAAACAGGAACTATGAAAAGATATATAACCAAAGGCAGCTTTCTTTAAAATATTTGAACCATGTAGTCATAGCTGAACAGATGCCTAGAGGAGGTATTCAGAGGGTTCCAGTGAGAAGAGGAGATGAGAGCAACAAAACTAATGAAACTAGATGGATAATAACTGTTTTAGCAGACCAGAGGAAGCAGAAACCTAGGCTACTAGTGGGGAAGCTCAGAAGCTGGCCGATTAGCACTGCAAGTCTCCAGAAGGCCTCAGGAATTGAAGGCACCAAATACCTCTGAAAGAGGCATGAAGATGGGACTTAAAGCAGGTAGTCTGGTTGAAAGTCTGTTTAAGAAGCAGTTGGAACCAAATGATCAAACAGCGTCGCCAATAGCAATCCCTCCTGACATACGCCTCCGGGTGAAGTACATAGCTTTGGCTATGATATCTCCCTGGCAGGATGTTTAACCTGAATTTAAAAGGCCTGTAGACTAAACTTTCAATCCATAGGAAATACAGGGGATAGAGGAACAAGTCAAGTGAGGAAATAATCAGCAAGCCTAGACTGTGGGACGTTCTAGAAGACTGGCCTTTTCAAAAAGCCAATGTCATAGATTAGAAAGACCAAAGAGATACAACAGCCAAATGCAATGGATCCTGGTTTTTGGTTTTTCTGTGTTTTTTTTTTTTTTTTTTAGGCCATTTGGAGAAATTTGAAGATGAATCAGATATTAAATGGTGAGGTAGCCAGCCTCCAAGATGGGCCATAGTGATCCCCACCCCCACACTCATACATAGTCCTTCCTGCATTACACTAGGATTGGTCTATGTGTCTAATACCATACTGCAGAAGTGATGGTAAGTCACTGCTGTGAATGGTTATAAAAGACTACAGCTTCCGTCTTGGGTACTTGCTCTCTCTCTCTCTCTCTCGCTCTCATACACACACACACACACACACACACACACACACACACACAAAGATCCTTTGCTTTGGGTGAAGGCATCTGCCACGTTGTGACAATGCTCAGGTAGACTAGATCGGGCAATGGAGAAAGAACCTCAGGCTTCCAGACATCAGCCACTGAACAAGCCTGGAGACGTCTGCTTCAGCTGGAAGCTTTATTGCAACCTCATGAGAGACTCTGAGCCAGAACCATCCAGCTAAGCTGCTTTCAGATTTCTAACCGTCGAGCACTGTGAGATAAAAAATATTTGTGGTGTTAAATGCTATGTTTTGGAGTATTTTGTTACCCAGCAGCAGATAACTAATACAGATGATAAAGGGAATGATTTCATCTTCTTAGGTGTGATACTGGTGGTGTGATTATGCAGGAGACTGTCCTTATTTTTAGGAGTTTCAGGCCAATGTGTTTAGTGATTTAGTGGTGAAATGTCCTGATACCTCCACAATTTAGTTTCAAATGGTCCAGCAAATATATAAACATGGCAGGCGTGCGTGCACACACACACACACACACTCACACACACAGTTCCTGAATCCAAGTGCTAAGTATACAAATAATCATTGTATCATTCTTTTAACGACTCTGTATCTTTGAAAATTCTCACAATAAAAACTTAAAGAATTTCTGCTTCTAGCCAAGATGAAGTAACAGAATCTTGATTTATCCTACCATTGAAAACAACCAAGAAACCATTAAAAATATATGAAATAGGCCAGGGAACAGTGGCTCACACTTGTAATCCCAGCACTTTGGGAGGCCAAGGTGGGTGGATCACTTGAGGCCAGGAGTTCGAGACCAGCCTGGCCAACATGGTGAAAACTCGCCTTTACTAAAAATACAAAAATTAGCCCAGCATGGTGGCAGGTGCCTGTAATCCCAGCTACTTGGGAAGCTGAGGCAGAAGAATTGCTTGAGCCCAGGAGGCGGAGGTTGCAGTGAGCCAAGATCACACCACTGCACTCCAGCCTGAGCAACAGAGCGAGACCCTGTCTCAAATATATATATACATATATCTAATATTTTATATATAAAATACATATATTTATATATAAATAAAATAATGAAATAGCAGTTTTCAAGACACTGGACACCAGACAACAACAAAGGACAGTGATCTCTGAGAGATGCAAAATAAGACAAACCCTGTAATTTTCCCCAATCACCGTATTAACAGAGTTTCCCAACCATAACCCAGGGCAGGCGAACTGAGGCAGATCCCAGCAGACTCCCTACATTGAGGAGATAGAGCTTCTTCTCAATGTCTGCCTACAAACTCTTGTTTGTGTTAAAATCTTCCATTCATTGAAAGAAAACACTAACTGATGAATCATTTGGAAAGCAAGCTTCTTTTTACTTTCTGGGGCTGAATATCTCCATTGGCCTGTGGATGCATATGAGAGTAAGAAATTTCTTCTACTAGATTCTTCTTGATATCTACCTATGATCTCCTTTTTGTCTTAAGATTTTCCACTCCAGGAAGGGAGACAAAAGCAGAGTTTCTAGAGCAGATTGCAGAGAAAAGGTAACTGCCCAGAGAGAGAGCACCAGAAATCTGCAGTGGGTCTCCCTCATGGAAACGGCAGAGTACTGGTCAACTCATGTATGCAATAAAAATACCTGAGGCTAGGCCAGGCATGGTGGGCACACGCCTACAGTCCCAGCTACTCAGGAGGCTGAGGTGGGAGGATCGCTTGAGCCCAGGAGTTCAAGACCGTAGTGTGTGATGATCATGCCTATGAATAGCCACTGCACTCCAGCCTGGGCAACACAGTGAGAACTCATCTCTAAAACAAACAAAATATAAAAGAAACCTGAGGCTGTGGAAAAAAACAAACAAACAAACATCTGAAAGGATTCAAAGCAATAGTATCTCGCACTCACACAGGGCTAAGAACAGTGCTTACTGACACCAGGCAGACGTTAAAATCGAACAATTCACGGATCATTGGGTGGAGTACTCACAAGGGTCTTTCTTTAGTCATGTGGAATAATTAGTCCTAGACTAAGCATTGCTCTAAACCTTCCTAACAAATAATAAAAGCAAGACCCCAGAAAGATCAAACTATTTCCAAGTAAATTGGATTCCAGAGCACATATTTATAAAAATACAAACATATTAAACACCTGACAAAGTAAAATTCACATATGGCACTCAATCATCAGGGATTATCAAGCATGCATAGAGGTGGCAAAAACACAAACTATAATGAGGACAATAATCAATAAATCAAACTGACCAAGAACTGACACAGATGTAAGAATGAGCAAAGAAAGGCTGGGTGCAGTGGCTTATGCCTGTAATCCTAGCACTTTGGGAGGCTAAGGCAGGTGGATCATTTGAGGCCAAGAGTTTGAGACCAGCCTGGCCAACATGGCAAAACCCCATCTCTACTAAAAATACAGAAATAAGCTAGGTGTCATGGCAGGCACCTGTAATCCCAGGTACTCATGAGGCTGAGGTAGGAGAATGGCTTGAACCCATGAGGCAAAGGTGCAGTGAGCCAAGATTGTGCCACTGCACTCCAGCCTGGGCAACAGAACAAGACTCCATTTCAAAAAAAAAAAAAAAATCATCAAAGGACATTAAAACAGTTATGAAAATTATACTCTATAAATTCAACATTAGGTAGAGATATGGAAGATATACAAAATACCCAAATCAAACTTCTAGAGATAAAATTTATAATGTTTAAGAGGAAAAATATATTGTCTAAGATTAAAAGCAGATGAGACATCGCAGAAAAAAAGATGAGTGAACTTGAAGACATAGAAATTACCCATAATTACACAGAAGAAAAAAGAAAAAAATAAAAAGAGCATCAACAACTCTATGTCCAAAATTTAATAACTTAATTGAAATTGACCATTTACTTGAAGGACACAATCTACCAAAACTCACACAAAGAGAAATAGACAATCTGATAGGCCTGTATCTTTAACAAAATTTAACCAGAATTAATAACCTTCCAAAACAGAAAACATCAGGTCCAGCTGATTTCACTGGTAAACTGTACCACTTAAGGAAGAAATGATACTAATTCTCTATCATCTCTTCCAGAACACTTCTTAACTTATTCTGTGAGTCCAGCATTACCCTAATATCAAAACCAGATAAAGAAATTACAAGAAAGGAAGACTTCAGATCAACATCTTTCAAGAACATAAATACAAAAATCTTCAGCAAAACATTAGCAAATCAAATTCAACAATGTATTTTTAAAAAACTACATGCCATGGCTAAGTGGAATTTATTACAGGTACGCAAAGCTGATTCAAGATTCAAATGGCAGCAAAGATGGTGGAATGATCACGATGCTGCAAACTGGCCTCTTGGCCAGGGGGCCAGCTGCTTTCTGGGAGGCCGAGTGTGTCTGTTGGACTGTGCAAGGAGAAGAAAAAAAGATATCAACCAGAGGAAAGGAATGGAATATTTTTCTTCCCTACCTTACAGCGGGGAGTAATAATCTACTCTAAAGCAAAGGTCTTAAGTAGGTGACTATAAACTATTGGAAATTTTATGCACAATTACACATTTTTGTAGAAAGAAGAAGGTCCATAATATCAGCAGATTCTCAAACAGGACAGTGTTCCATAAAAGCTTGAGAACCGCTTCTCTGCGACTTCTGACATCTTTTTAAATTAACCCCAGTGCAGCTTCCTTAACACAGGAAGAACATCTTTTCTCGAACTTTAGGTGCCTTGATATGCATCTCAAAAAAAAAAAAAAATTCTGAACTCGGGACGTGGCAAGTATCTCTATGTTGTCTCCTAAAGCGGGCAGTCCTGCTTCTTTTATCCAGTTACTTTCTCTCTTCTTGAAATGTGGTTGTCTCTTCTCTACACATTACCTCCATGGCTTGGAATGGAAAAGGCCACTTTTCTTTTTGTTCCACGTCTCAGATTCAACACAGAGATGCCCCTAGGATTGCAGTTATCCTGTCAACTTCTCCAGGAAGAAAAAAGCAACTAGCATAGGTTTTCTGCTGCTATTTCCTTAATTATAAAGACATTATTTTGCAAGCTGAAGACTGATGTTTCATTTGAAACAGGGGCTTAGGTGGTAGTATTTGTGAATTATTTACTTTTTGTTCCAAACAAGAAGACTAAATAAACAGCAAGCATGGATAACTTCAGGATTTTTTTTAATGTCTTCTCATGTCAGCCATTAACACGAGACTACAGCAGTAAATTCCAAATATGTAGTTCTAATTTGAAATGAAAGATACTAAAAAGTTACATATATTTACATATCTAAATCCTGGCTCATCTTGTAACACGGATTTACTGAATAAGAACAAAGGTCCAATTTTGCAAGTAAACCTTTGATGTGATAAGCCTGAAGATAACGAAGTTAATTTCATATGCAATTAAAATCATCACAGTATCTGTACAGTTTTAAAAAACATTCAAAATCAATAAATATAATCTGTCACATCAAGAAGCTAAAGAAAAAATCATATGCTCATATGAATAAATGGATAAAAAGCATTTGACAAAATCCAACCTCCATCTCGATAAAAATTCAGCAAACTAGAAATAGAGGAGAAATTCCTCAGTTTAATACAGAACATCTATAAAAAACCTACAGCTACTGTCATACTTCATGATGAGAAACTGGATGTCTTCCCCCTAAGATTAGGATGTACTCTCTCATCATTCCTATTCAACATTGTACTGGAAGTTCTAGCTGATGACCTAAGACAAGAAAAGGAGATAAATATACACAGACTGGAAAGAAATAAATTAAAACTGTCCTTGTTCACAGATGACATGATTTTTATATAGAAAAATCCTAAAGAATTAACAAACCTGAACCAATGATCAATTATAGCAAGCTTGCCAGGATAAAAGGTTTATACATAAGTCAATTGTTTTCCTATATACCAGCAATGAACCACTGAAATTTGAAATTTCAAACACAATACCATTTATATTAGCATTAAAAATACTTGGTTATGAATCTAATAAAATATGTATAAGATCTACATGACGAAAACTACAAAACTGATTAAAGAAATCAAAAGAAATCTAAATAAATAGATACTTCATGTTTATGAAGAGGAAGACTCAATATTGCCAAGATGTCAGTTGATCTATAGATTCAATGCCATCCCAGTCAAAATTTCAGCAAGTTATTTTGTGGATTTTGACAAACTGGTTCTAAAATTTATATGGAAAGATGAATGACCCAGAATAGCCAACACAGTACTAAGGAAAAACAGTCAGGGGACCAATAATATCTGATTCAAGACTTACTGTAACGCTACAGTAATCAAGACAGTGTAGTATTAGTAAAAGAATAGATGAACAGATCAATGGAACAGAACAGAGACCAGAAATAGACCTATACAAGTAGTCAACTGATCTTTGACATAGGAGCAAAGGCAATTCAAGGGTAGCAAAGGCAATGGAGCAAGGGGTAGTGTTTTCAACAAATGGTGCCGAAACAAGTGGACATGCAACATCACATGCAGAAACAACAGGGAAGGAAGAAAGAAAGTAAGGAAGGAAGAAAGGAAGGGAGGGAGGGAGGGAGAGATGGAGGGAGGGAAGGTTCTAGACACAGACCTTACACCTTTCATAAAAATTTGCTCAAAATGAATCATAGACCTAAATGTAAACTACTAGAAGATGACATAGGAGAAAATCTAAATAACCCTGGGTTTGGCAATGACTTTTATTATACAACACCAAAACCCTGATCCATGAAAGAAATACTTGAAAAATTGGACTTCATTAAAAATTACAAACTTCTGATCTCAGAAAGTCCTTGATAAGAGAATGCAAAGACAAGTCACACAGTAGGAGAAAATATTTGCCAAACACATAAAAGACTGGCATCCAAAATATGTGAAGATCTTTTAAAACTCAACAATAAGAAACAAACAAGCCAAATTTAAAATGGCAAAAGATCTAAGCAGACATCTCATCAAAGAAGATACATAAATTACAAATAAACATAGAAAAGATGCTCAACATCATATGTCTTTAGGAAACTGCAAATCAAACCAACAATGGGATAGCGCTGTATACCATTTAGCAGAATGACTAAAAATCTGACAATACCAGAGGCTAACAAGGATCCGAGGCAACAGGAACTGTCAGGAACTCTCATTTATTGCTGGTGGGAATACAAAATGTTGCAGCCACTCTAGAAGACAATTTGGTAGTTTCTTACAAAATTAAACATTCTCTTACCATACAATCCAGCAACCATGTTCCTAGGTACTTAAGTAATTGGGTTGAACACATATGTCTACATAAAAACCTGTATATGAATGTTTATTATGGCTTTATTCATAATTGCCCCAAACTGGAGGCAACCAGGATGTCCTTCAATAGGTGAATGGTAAAAACAAACATATATATAATAGAATATTATTGATGGATAAAAAGAGATGAGCTATCAAGCCATAATAAGACCTGAAGGAAGTATAAATGAGTATTGCTAAATGAAAGAAATCAGTTTGAAAAAGGCTACATACTGTGTGATTCCAACTATAGGACATTCTGGAAAAGGCAAATATAGACAGACAATAAAAGATAGTGGTTTCCAGGGAGAGGGGAAGCAGGTACATTTAGGGGAAGCAGGTACATTTAGGGGAAGCAGGTACATTTAGGTGGAGCATAGGGGATTGTTTTCAAGGCAGAGAAATGATTCTGTATGATACTGTAATGGTGGATATATGATATCATCATTTGTCAACATACCTAGAATGTACAACACAAAGAGTGAACCCTAATGTAAACTATGGACTTGAGTTAGCAATAATGGATCAGTGTTGGTTCATCAATTGTAACTAACGTATAACACTAAAAAAGCTATAGGAAGGAGAGGGGAGAATGGACATATGGGAATTATCTGCATGATTTTTCTGTACATCTAAAACTGCTCTAAAAAATAAAGTCTATTAATTTTAAAAAAGTATCAGTGAGTTGTGGGACAAGGTCAAGCAGCCTATTATGTATATAATTTGAGTCACCAAATAACAGGAGTGAGGTGGGGACAGAAAAAATATCTGAAGAAACAACGACCAAAAATTTTCTAAACTTGCCATAGATCTAAAAAGCTCAAAGAATCCAAGCACACACCCACACCAAAAAAAAAAAAGAAAAAAAAAACTGAAGAAAATTACATGTTATAGTCAAATTTGTAAAGACCACTTAGCAAAAGAACATCTTAAAGGCAGCCAAAGAAAAAAGAAAAGGACATGTCATGTAGAGAGATCAAAATAAGGATGGCACAGATTTCTTGTCAGAAATATGGCAATCAAGAAGACAGCAGATAAACATCATTAGGCTACTGAAAGAAAAACATTCTCAACGTAATTGACAATAAAATATTTTCACTATACTTAGTTAAAATATTGAAAAATGAAAGTGAAGTAAAGACTCACAAAAGCTGAGGAAATTAATCACCAGCAGATCCACACTATAAGAAATGTTAAAGTGAGGGCTTCGGGCAGAAAAAAATAATACCAGCTGGAAATCTGGTTCCAGACAAAGGAATGACGAATACCAAAAATGGTAACTATGTACGTAAATATATAATTTTTTTTAATTTTTTGAAACTCCTTACATAAAATTGACCATACAAAAACACTAACAATGTAGTCTGGATTTTAAAACATAAGCAAAAGTAAGATACATGACAATAAGTATAAAGAATAGGAAGGAGGCAATAGAAGTACATTATTCTAAGCTTATACTGTACATGAAGTGGTATAATAGTACTTGCTTGAAGATAGATTGCAATAAATAAACATATACCTTATAAACCCTAAAATAACTACTAAAATAACAGAACAAACAGTTATAGCTAATAATTTACTAATAGTGCACCATATAAAATGGAATCACAGGCCAGGCGTGGTGGTTCACACCTGTAATCCCAGCACATTGGGAGGCCAAGACAGGCAGATTACTTGAGGCCAGGAGTTGAAGACCAGCCTGGCCAAATATAGCGAAACCCCATCTCTACTAAAATACAAAAAAATTAGCTGGGCGTGGTGGTGCATACCCGTAATCTCAGCTACTCGGGAGGCTGAGGCACGAGAATCACTTGAACCCGGGAGGTAGAGGTTGTAGTAAGCTGAGATTGCACCACTGCACTCCAGCCTGGGCAACAGAGCAAGGCTCTGTCTCAAAAACAATAATAATAAATAAAATAGAATTATTAAAAAAATTAATCCAGGAGGATACTGAATGTTCCCAAAACAAAGAAACAATAAAATGTTTGAGATGATGAATATGCTAATTACCCTGATCTGATCACTATACATTATATGTATTGAAACATCACTATGCTTTCCATGAATATATACAATTATTATTTGTCAATTTTAAAAAATAAAATGAAAATTAATCCAAAAAAGTCAGAACAAAAGGAAAAAGGAAACAAAGAACGACGGGAAATAGAACACAAATAAGATGACAGACTTCAAAGTAACTATATTAATAAACACATTAAATATAAGTGATCCAAACATTCCCAATTAAAATACAGGAATTACCAGATTGCATTTTTTTAAAAGGCAGGACCAGACTCTATGCTGTCTACAAGAAACACACTTTAAATATGAAGACACCAATAGGTTAAGAGTAAAAAGATGGAAAATTATATAGCATGTTAACACAGTTCAAAGATAGCTGGAGTGGCCATATTAATATTAGACAAGGTATACTTCAGAGCAAAAACTATTATAAGATAAAAAAGTTTATTTTGTAATAAAGGGGGACAATTAATCAAAAGAACATAACAATTCTATACACCTATGTACCTAATAACAGAAGTTTCAAAATATATGAAGTAAAAAATGATAGCACTGCAGGGAGAAATTTAAAAATCCACGATCATAGTCAGAAATTTTAATATCATCAATAATGAATAGAACAACTATATAGAAAGTCAACAAGAATATAGAAGATGAATAACACTATCAATCAACTTGACCTGATTGACATTTACAGAACATTCCATCCAACAACAACAGAATACACATTCTTCTCAAGTGTACATAGAACATTTAACAAGATAGACCACATTCTGGGTCATAAAACAAATCTCAATAAATTCAGAAGGATTCAAGTCATAAAAAGTGTGTTATCTGACAAAAATATAATTAATTAAAAATCAGCAACAAAAAGATCTCTGGAAAACCCCCAAGTGTTGGGAAATTAAATACCATACTTCAAAATAACCCACGGATCAAAGAAAAAAGTCAAAAGACACTTATATTTTGGACTGAATGAAAGTGAAAATACAACATATCAAAATCTGTGGGAGGCTGCTAACACATCATTTAGTGGGAAATTTATAGCACTAAATGCCTATATTAGAAAATAATAAAGGTCTGCTGGGTGCAGTGGCTCTTGCCTGTAATCCCAACACTTTGGGAGGCCAAGGCAGATCACTTGAGCCCAGGAATTAGCAATCAGCCTGGCCAACACAGAGCATAAAGCATACAAAAAATGCTTTAAAAATTAGCTGGGCATGGTGGCATGCGCCTGTAGTCTCAGCTACTCAGGAGGCTGAGATGGGAGGATCGCTTTAGCCCAGGAGGTTGAGGCTACAGTGAGCTGTACTCCAGTTTGGGTAACAGAGCAAGAACCTGTCTCAAAAGAAAAAAGAAGAAAAGAAAATAATCACATCTTAAATCAGTGAGTCCAACTTTCCCTTTACAAAACTAGAATAAGAAGAGATATTAAATTTAAAATAAACAAAGAGGCTGGGTGCAGTGGCTCATGCCTGTAATCCCAGCACACTGGGAGGCCAAGACGGGCAGATCACTTGAGGTCAGGAGTTCTAGACCAGCCTGGCCAACATGATGAAACACCGTTTCTATTAAAAATACAAAAATTAGCCAGTTGTGGTGGCATGCACCTGTAGTCCCAGCTACTCGGGAGGCTGAGGCACGAGAATCACTTGAACCCAGGAGGCGGAGGTTGCAGCGAGCCAAGATCACACCACTGCACTCCAGCCTGGGCAACAGAGCAAGACCCTGACTCAAATAATAACAGCAATCATCATCATCATCATCATCATCATCATCATCATCATCATCATCATCAAAGAAAATAGTGAGAATGAAAATCAATAAACTACAAAATAGAAAAACAATACAGACAATCAATGAAAATGAAAGCTAGTTGTTTAAAAAGATAAATAAAATTGATAAATTTCTAGCCAGATAGATCAGGAAAAAAGGAAAGAAAATAAAAATTATCAAGATCAAAAATAAGAGAGGTGCCATCAGTACAGATTCTATAGATATTAAAAGGATAAGAGAATACTGTGTACTCTTTATGCCAATAAATCTGAAAACTTAAAGAGACAAATTCATGAAAGATACAAACTACAAAAGCTCACTTAAGAAGCAGTAGTCAAGGGGAATAGCCCCTTATCTATTTTAGAAGTTGCAGTTGTAGTTAAAACCTTCCCACAAAGAAAACTTCCAGTCCACATCACTTCATCGTGAATGTTATCAAATATTTAGGGGAAGAAAAAACGCCAGTTCTACACAAACTCTTCCAAAAAATTGAAGAGGAGCAAATATTCCCCCAATTTGTTCCATGAAGCAAGCATTACCCAGATACCAAAACCAGAAAAAGACATTGTGAGAAAAGAAAACTACAGACCAATAATGCTCATAAATACAGATAGGGAAAAAAAGTCTAAACAAATTTTAGCAATTTGAATCTGACAACATACTAAAAGCATAATAACCAATTGGACTGACTATGTGTCAGAAATTAAAGGTTGGTCATTATTAGAAAAATCAATCAATGTTTAACTTACAATAGTAACTACAAAACAGAAACCATATGATCACTTACACAGAAAAAAGCATTCAAAAAAATTCAATGCCCATTCCTGATTTTTTAGAAAAAATCTCTTAGAAAACTAGGAACAGAAAGGAACCTAACCCGATTAAAAAAAAATCTGCAAACCACTTACAACAAAAAATCACACTTACTGATGAAAGACTGAATGCTTTCCTCCTGAGATCAGAAACAAGACAAGACAAGCTCTCACCACTCCTATTAAACATTGTTCTGGAGTTCGTAGCCAGTAATAAAAGGAAAAAGATACATAAAAGGCATCCTGATTAGAAAGGAAGAAGCAAAACTGTATTTGTCTATGTAGAAAATCCAAAGAAATGCAAAAAAAAGCTACTAGTATGAATAAATGACTTTGGGCAAGATTGCAGGATACAAGACGTGCAGACCAGGGCAGATTATATTTTTGTATGTCAGAAACAATCAGAAATTACAACTTTTTAAAATATCATTTATAAAACATTAAAAATGTGAAACAGACATTTGACAAAAGATGCAGAAGACTAGTACACTCTAAACTATGAAACCTTGCTGAAAGAAGCTCTCAAAGACAAACAAGTAGAAAGATATACCTGGTTATTGGGTCAGAATAGCAGAATAGTCCTTTTTTTTTTTTTTTTTTTTTTTTTTGAGATGGAGTTTCACCCTTGTTGCCCAGTGGCACGATCTTGACTCACTGCAACCTCCGCCTCCTGGGGTCAAGCGATTCTCCTGCCTCAGCCTCCCGAAGAGCTGGGATTACAGGCACCCGCCACCATGTCTGGCTAATATTTTGTATTTTCAGTAGAGACAGGGTTTTGCAGGCTGGTCTCAAACTCCTGACCTCAGGTGATCCACCTGCCTCGGCCTCCCAAAGCGCTGGGATTACCGGCGTGAGCCACCGTGCTCGGCCAGAATAGTCAATATTTAACATGGCAATTCTCCCAGTTTGATCCCTATATGCAACACAATCTTAATAAAAATATCAGGGAGCATTTTTTTGTACAAATTAGCAAGCTAATTTTAAAATTCTAGCAAAGGAGCTAGAATTCACACACACACACACACACGCACACACATTACTCACATATTATTAGGTGTGTGCAAAAGTAATTGTGGTTTTTGCCATTACTTTTGAGAGCAAAACTGCAATTACTTTTGTACCAACCTAATAGAATGGTTTCAGTGAAAAAGACTGACCATAACAAGTATTGGTGAGAATGTAGAGGAAATGGCACTCTCATGGTGGGTGCAGTTAAACACATGCTTACAATATGATCCAGCCGTTCCACTCTTAGGAAATTCCCAAGAGAAAAGGAAATATATATCCATGTAAAAACTTGTACACAAATGTTCAGAGCAGCTTTGTTTGTAAAAGCCAAAAACTGGAAAAAATTCAAATGGCTAACAACAAATCATGATATAGCCATTCAATTGAATATTATTTAGCAATAAACAGGAATGAAATATTTATGCAAACAACAACATAGATTAATCTCAAAATAATTATGCTGAGTGAAAGAAGCCAGACAAAAAAGTACATATTCTATGATTCTAGCTAAAACACTAAGAAATGCAAACTAAATTATAGTAACACAAATGAGAACAGTGCTTTCTTATGGGAGGGTGGCATCCATGGGGGAGTGATGACAGTCAAGAGGACACCGTTGGGACAAAGGCTATGTTCACTATCTCAATTGTGGTAATGGTTTCGTGGATGTATACATCTGTGAAAGTTTATAAAACTGTACACTCTAAATAGATGCAGTTTACTGTCAATCAGCCATACTCCAATAAAAGCCGAGCAACAAATTAAAGCACAGAGGAACATGTTAAATGATACCACAAGAATGCAATCTACAAAATCCACACTGTGAGAGACTCTACAGACAAATGACCCAATGTCTTCAACAAGTAAATTGCAAGAAAAAAGAAAGAGAACCATGGAGAACTTTATGTTAAATAGACTTAAGAGATCTATCAACTAATGGCAATGATCCTGACTTAAATCTAATTCAGACATCCAATTAGAAACTTGACGCCAGGCACGCGGCTCACGCCTGTAATCCCAGCACTTTGGGAGGCTGAGGCGGGCAAATCACTTGAGGCCAGGAGTTCAAGACCAGCCTGGCCAACATGGCAAAACCCTTTCTCTACTAAAAATACAAAAAAATAAGCCGGGCATGGTGGCATATACCTGTAGTCCCAGATATTCAGGAGGCTGAGGATCACTTGAACCCAGGAGGCAGGAGTTGCAGTGAGCCAAGATTGTGCAACTGTACTCCAGCCTGGGCAATGCAGCAAGACTCTGTCTCAAAAACAAAAACAAACAAAAACACCTTGAACATTGGGTATTTTATGATATTAAGAAGGTATTTTTAATGTTTTAGGCATGACAATATTGTGGTTACTAGCTTTTAATCTTTTTTTTTTTTTTGAGATGGGTTCTCACTCTGTCACCCAGGCTGGAGTACAGTGTGATCACTGCTCACTGCAGCTTTGACTTCCTAGACTCAGGCAATCCTCCCACCTCAGCCCCCTCCCAGTAGCTGGGACTACAGGTGCACGCCACCACGCCTAGGTAAATATTTGTATTTTTTGTAGTAGAGATGGGGTTTTGCCATGTTGCCCAGGCTAATCTCAAACTCCTGGAATCAAATGATCCACCCACCTGGGCCTACCAGTGCTAGGATTACAGGTGTGAGCCACCAAGCCTGGCCTTAAAAGAATCTTATTTAGAGATTTGCCTAAGATTTATTCACTCCCTCCACAAGAACTAATTTTTGCCCCCTTTGACACCCTCAACCCTGGTTGAGAACAAGTGCCTTATATTACATTGGTGCAAAAGTAGTTGTGGTTTTTGCCATTGACAGTAATGGCAAAACTCAGCCTCCCAAAGTGCTGGGATTACAGGTATGAGCCACTATGCCCGGCGTCAAGTTTCTAATTGGATGTCTGAATTAGATTCAAATCAGGATCATTACCATTAGTTGATAGATTGAAAGTAATGGCAAAAACCACAACTGCTTTTGCACCAACCTGATATTATTCTACTTTTGTATATGTCTCTAAGTTTTCATTAAAATTTAAAAAATATATTTTTTAAGAAAAAACAAGAGTGTAATCACTCATATAACAAATCACTGGTGAGGGAAAATCCCATTGACCTGGCTTTTCAGCTGACTGGAACCAGAATTCAAATAGCATCAAGACTAACTTGTCAGCTGAGAGGCTTGTGGTTGTATTTTAGACCATAGAGGGGATTTATGACTTCCGTATCAGGAGGAGCCAGAGATAGGATGGGCTTCAGGGAAGAAGTGGTCAACTAGCTAGACCCAGAATCTCTGCTTGTCTCTCTTCTTAAGAATCATTCTCGGCTGGGTGCAGTGGCTCATGCCTGTAATCCCAGCACTTTGGGAGGCCAAAGCAGGCGGATCACTGGAGGTCAGGAATTCGAGACCAGCCTGGCCAATAGGGTGAAACTCTATCTCTACTAAAAATACAAAAATTAGCCGGGCATGGTGGTGCGTGCCTGTAGTCCCAGCTACTCAGGAGGCTGAGGCAGAAGAATCACTTGAACCCCAAAGGCGGAGGTTGCAGTGAGTTGAGATTGCACCACTGCACTCCTGCCTGGGCGATAGAGCGAGACTCCATCTCAAAAAAAAAAAAAAAAAAATCAATCTCAGGCCAGGCGAAGGTGGCTCACGCCTGTAATCACTTTGGGAGGCCAAGGCGAGTGGATCATGTGAGGTCAGGAGTTCAAGACCAGCCTGCCCAACATGGCAAAACCCCATCTCCACTAAAAATACAAAAATTAGCCAGGAGTGGTGGCGGGAGCCTGTAATCCCAGCTACTCGGGAGGCTGAGGCAGGAGAATAGCTTGAACCCAGGTGGCAGAGGTTGCAGTGAGCCAAGATCTCACCATTGCCCTACAGCCTGGGTGACAGAGTGAAACTCCATCTCAAAAAATACATACATACATACATTAAAAAAAAAAAAAGGATCAAACTTATTCCAAGACTGGCTTGCCTGCTGGTCCCAAAATGGAAGCTCACAGGGTAGTTGCATGCTTCCTGGTTGGTTCTCATCCAACAGGAAAGAGACACTGCACTTCAGCATTCAGTACAAGTCTTTAATTCACTCTGATTGGACTAGCCTTGATAACTGCCCATCTTGGGCAGTTTCTGCAGTGGGGAAATGGAATGTGCTGAGTGCCCAGCCCAGGCCAAGTGGTCCACTCTGGGGTCACAGGGACAGGGAGAGTCAATGTTTCTAGGACTACATAGCTCTCTAAACAGAAATCAGGGCTTTTGGAAGGGAGAAAGAGAAACTGCCCATCTTTTCTTTACTTTATTGGCATATGTTTAATTTGTTCCAGTCAGTGTCTCCACAAGGTTAAGAATGTGTTTGCCAGATGATCTGGGAAGACCTACCATTACCCTTTGCTAGAGGGGTAAGTAAGGTTACGAGCTCCAATTTTAAATAAAAAATCTCAGAAAAGGATGTGATTGGCCTGGTTTGAGTCATGTGCTCATGCCTGGACCAATTACTATTGCTGTGGAGGTGGAATGCTATGATTGGCACAGCTAGGGTCAAATGCCCGCCCCCAGGCAGGGAGGCAGTGCTGGGGATGCAGCTCCTGTCTCCCTGAAGACAGAGGGTTGCTCTTAGGTGGACAAAACATTTGGAGTTCTCTCAATGGTTATCAAACAGGGTTATTACGAAAATGTACAATTAAGTTTTCTTTTCTCTTGGGCATCCACTGTGTCTTTAATCCTTATTTTCTTTCCCAAGTCCCCATCCCACCCCACCTTCCAGCGCTCCGAATTTGCCAAGTGGAAGAGCAGGCCCTGGGAAGAAACAAAACAATAAAAACTACTGGATGATTTCTATCGAAGCAGGCTCTGACTCCCCCATGAACATCTTTCTCATCTCAAATAAATAAAATGCAGCGGGGGCTTGAACTAGCCACCATATCCCTGAGACACAGACTCCTCGCCTGTAAATGGAATTAGTAACAGAACCTACCTCACAGGGTAAATGTGATATGAAGTGGGTTGATGCACGTGAAATGCATTCCAAGCATACGGTAGATACTTAATAAATGGTAGCTATTATGTTCCATTCCATTCTACGCTTTAAATAACCCAGTCAGAAGGAAATTTGACTAAAAACAAATTACCCAAGTACATTTCAAAATCTCCTCCATAGCCAAGAAAAGACCACATCACCTTCTTCCCAGGAAACCACCTGTGCCTTGGGTATCACCCACTATTGCCCCCACCTGCAACTCTGCACACCGGACTGACTCCCTTCCACCCTGTTTCTCGGAGATCTGAGGATCTGCACATTAACCTCCCACCACCTCCCTCCCCACCCACCAGTCATCTGTGCTGCCCACCCTGGCAAGCTGTCTCCCTAACACCTCACCTACTCACGGCTTCATTATTTTATTTCCCACCTTTCTCACTCAGAGAAAGGGGGAGGAGCAGAGATAATCCTACAAGCCAGAAGACAGTGGGAGCCGGCTGGACCTAGCTCCTGTCCCCTGGGGCCACGCCATCCACCCACAGCTCCTGCAAGCCTACCCACTGGCCTTCTGGTACTCCCTTCTCCCTCCCCTCACCTCCCTGACCACCCCAACCTGAGCAACCAGTACTTCTTATCCATTACCTCTTCCCTAATCCCTCTTCTCCACTTTCCATGAAAGCCCACAAAGCCAGGCCAAGTTCCAGACCTCCAGGTCTACAGCCCTGGCAAAAAGCCCAATTCTCCTGTCTGGATGGATGCATGAGGTAGAAGGCACACTCCTTTATCTGAAGGGGTTGGGTGTGGGAAGGGGCATTAGGAAAACAACTCATGGAGATCTCTGACTCTCCACAAACTCCTGGGCTCATTAGCCCCGTAGGCCTTGATATATTACTCTCTGAGCCCACCTTTATTGACCTCTCCCAAAAAAAAATATAGTGATGCCAACCCTTCATGTGGTTCTGTCTCCCCTGTGGGAACTACAAGTATAATGGGGACTTGGGTTCAATCCTGGCTCTGCCGTTATAGACCGTGTGACCTTGAACAAGTCTCTTCACCTCTCTGAGGTTCTGTCCCCTTATCTGTAAAATGGGGATGACATGACACCCACCTCGCAGGCTTACTTTGAAAAGCAGAGCAATCACAGGACAATGGGAACACACTTTGTCAAGCTGTCGGTTGTTGTTACAAAGTTCCTTCTAATGTGGGTTTTGAAGGAAAAATAATATATTAAAAAGGTAACACTTCTACTTCTAGCAAGATGGTGTCACAGGGTATGGATTTACTCTTACCTGACACAACCAAAAAGCCAGAAAAAAAAATACATGAAACAACAGTTTTCAGGCCAGTGGTCATCAGGCAACAAATGACAATAATCCCTGTGAGACAGAAAACAAACAAAGTGAGCCTACAGCTGCCCTGCCTCGCTGCCTGGAGTGTCCAGGCTGTAGGGCAGGGAGGGAGAGAAGCAAGGCAGAGGTCTGCAAAATTTGAGTTGGGAGACAGAAGTCTGTAGATACTTAGGTGTCTGCAGTGTGCAGGGCAGATTCTAAAGAGTATACAGCTACACAGAGAACTCTGGAGCTACCTGACGAGTCCCCCAGAGTATGTAGCAAAGCACTGAGCAGTACATGCATTATCCAAGGCCAGGGGAAAAAAACATTCAAGGGCATCTGAGGGAACAGCTTCAGGTTCTGAGGGCCAGGAATAGCGCCTGTTCCTACCAGCCAGATTGTAAAGCCCCAAGCTCCACAGGGCATTCAGTAGAGTACTCAGAGGCTTGCCTTCATAGTGAGGGATAACCAGCCCAACACCACATACAGCTATGGTCTTGTACAACTCATCTTCAAAGCAAGACAAAAAAATAAACTGTTTTCAAATGATTTAACTGCTTTTTAAAACAAAGCTAAGGAACATTTTTAGGAATACTAAAATAGCTAGCAACACAAGGTAAAATTCACAATGCATGACATCCAATAAGAGACTAATAGGCATAAAAAAGAGCAGGAAAACATAACCCATAATAAGGCACAAAATCAATCATAACCAATCTAGAACTAACATGAATATCAGAACGAGCAAAGAAGGACATTATGTTACTATATTTTAGCATATTGTATTATATTATAATATTTTGAAAATATTCCATATTTTTAAAAAGTTAACCAGACACATGGAAGGTATATTTTTATAGACCGAAATTGAATTTTTAGAGATGAAAACTGCAATGTTTGAAATGGAAAATATACTATATGGGATTAACAGCAGATTAGTCATTGCAGGAGAAAATATTAGTGAACTTAAAGACACAGCAATAGAAACTATCCAAAATAAATCACACAAAGGAAAAATGGCTTAAAAAATGAAAGGAATGCCAGTAAACCATGGAACAACTTCAAACAACCTAATATACATGCAACTGAAGTTCCTGAAGAAAAGAATACACAGAAAAATATTTGAAGAAATAACATCCTAAATTTTCTAGATTTGATGAAAACCACAAACCCACAGATCCAAGAAGCTCAATAAACTCCAAGAACAAGAAACATCAATAAAACTACACCAAGACACATCATAATAAAATTGTTCAAAACCAGTAATAAAGAAAATCTTAAAATAGAGGGGAAAATGTCACATATAGAGGGATAAAGATGAAGATAACACAAATTTTTCATCAGAAACAATGCAAGCAAGAAGACAAACAATGTAGCAATATATTTAAAGTATTAAAAAAGACAACCGTAAACCTGGAGATATACCTTGTTATTGGTTAAGAATTATCACAGGATAGAGAACCCAGAAATAAATCCACGTATTTACAGCCAACTGATTTTTGACAAAGATGCCAAGAAAATACACTGAGGAAAGGACACCCTATTCAATAACTGGTGCTGGGAAAATTAGATATCCATATGCAGAAGAATGAAACTGGACCCCATCTCTCACCATATACAAAAATCAGCTCAAGATGGATTAAAGATTTAAACATAAGACCTAAAACTATAAAACTACTAGAAGAAAACATACAGGGGAAACACTTCAGGATATTGGTCTAGACAGAGATTTTTGTGGCTAAGACCTCAAAAGCACAGGCAACAAAAATAAAAATAGACAAGTGGGACTATATTAAACTAAAAAGCTTCTGCACAGAAAACAACCGACAAAGTGAAAAGACAACCCACAGAATGGGATTAAAATATATGCAAACTGTCCATCTGACAAGAGATGAATATCCAGAATGTACAAGGAACTCAAACAACAGTAAAAAAAATAAAAAGTCCCATTAACAAGTGGACAAAGGACATGAATAGACATTTACAAATGGTCAACAGGTATATTAAAGAACACTCAGCATCACTAATCATTAGGGAAATGCAAATCAAAATCACAATGAGATATTCTCCTAGCCCAGTTAGAATGGCTATTACTAAATGACAAAAAGTAACAGATGACAGTGAGGATGTAGAGAAAAGGGAACTTTTATACAGTTGGTGGGTACACAAAATAGAGCAGCCACTATGGAAAAGTGTATGGGGATTTCTCAAAAAACTAAAAACAGAAATGCCATACAGTCTAGCAATCTCACTACTGGGTATTTATCCAAAGGAAAAGAAATCAGTGTATCAAAAGGATACCTGAACTCCACGCTTAGTGAAGCACTATTTACAATAGCAAAGATATAGAATCAACCTAAGTATCCATCAGTGGACAAATGAATAAAGAAAATGTGGTATATATGCACAGTGGAATACTATTTGGTCAAAAAAATGAAATCATATCATTTGCAGCAACATGGATAGAACTGCAGGTCATTATGTTAAGTAAAATAAGCCAGGCATAGAAAGACAAATATCCCATATTCTCATTCAAATGTAAGAGCTAAAAAAGTTAATCTCGTGGAGGTAGAGAACAGAATGATAGACACTAGAGACTTGGATGGGTAAGTGTGGTGCAGGGGGATAAAGAGAGGTTGGTTAATGGTTACAAACATATAGTTTTATAGAAGGAAGAAGTTCTAATGTTTTATAGCAGAGTAGGGTGACTACAGTTACCAATGTGTTTTATATTTCAAAATAGCTTGAAGAGAGGACTTGAAATGTTCCCAAGATATAGATATGATAAATACTTGAGGGGATGGATACCCCAAACACCCTCGTTTGATCATTAAACAGTCTATGCATATAACAAAATGAAACAGGAAATTTTCCCTAAACCCTCTGCAGGCCTCATGACAAGGGTGCTCACTTAGCCTGCAGCTCTCAACCCCTCATGGGAGGGGCAGCACGCAGGTGATGAGGTACAGGAGCCGAGCCAAGGTGAGTGCTTCTGGGTGCCAGCAGGAGCAAAACACCGTGCAGGCCCAAGGCAGCATCAAGTGGGGAGTACTTGTGATCCCTGAAGCTCCAGAGGGCGTGTGTTACAGTGTGCTCTTTTAGCTTTGCCATCCACAGACAGCTTAAGTGTTGAACAGCTCAGTGGGCCCTCTGCCTTTTCACGTGAAGTGGTTGCTCTCCACCAGTGAGGGCAGAGGGTCAGTGTGACAGCCTTTAGTGTTCACACCCGTAGCTCCTGAGCTGTTATTCAGCATCCAGGAATAATCAGGTTGCACGAACAAATTGAAGGGTGGTAAATATGGAGGATTTTATTGCCCATGGAAGTGGCTCTCAGTGGGAAGGAGAGCTAGAAAGGGGATGGAGCAGGAAGGTGTTTTTCTCCAAAGTCCCACCATCAAGCCATTCCTCTGAAGTCAAACTGCTTCTCTCTGATGTTCAGCTGCTTCTTCTCTTCTCCCTTTCTCTGCCCTCTGCCAGTGAAGCCTGGGGTTTTTATGGATAGGGGATGGGGGTGCAGGGTGGGCCAGGGGTGGTTTTGGAAAAGGCAACATTCAAGCAGGAAAACGGGGATGTAAAGTTCTCACTTTGGGTCAGGCTTGAGGGTGGGGCCCTTGCCAGGGACCCTGCCCTTTTCTGCCTGGAATTTCTCTGCCTCCTGGCCCTATCAAAAATATCACATGAACCCCATAAATATGTACAAATACTATAAATCAATTTTTAAAAGAAGAGTCAATATTATTAACATATCAATTCTCCCCAAATTGTTGCATATATTCAACATAACCCCAGTTAAAGTATCAGGAAGCTGTTCTTACAAATTGACAAGCTAATTATAAAGGTCATAGGGAGATGCAAAGAAGCTAGAACTCTCTCACACACACACACACACACACACACACGTACACACACACCCCTCTGAAAAAACAAAGTTGAAGGGTTAGGACTACCAGATTTCAAGAATCATAAAGTTACATTAATCAAGGCAGCATGGTATCGGCATCAAAATAGCCACACAGATCAGTGAAACAGAAGGAAGCGTCAACAAATAAACCCATACATATTCGAATTTTTGACAAAACTGCAAAGGAAATGCAGTAGACAAAAGGCAGCCTTCTTAACAAATGGTGTTAGGACAACCGGATATCCATATGCACAAAGACAAACTTGGATACATACTTGTAATCATCTATAAAAAATTAACTAAAAAATGGATCATAGACCTAAATGTAAAGCCTAAAACTATAAAATTTCTAGAAGAAAACACAGAAAAAAATATTTGGCCTTGAATATCATATCAAAGATTTTTTAATATCTGACACCAAAAGCATGATCCATAAAAGAACAAAGTTCTTGTACATGAGTTCCTTATGTATTCTGGATCTCAATAAATAAATTGGACTTCATCAAAATTACATACTTCTGCACTTTGAAAGACACTTTAAAAAATAAAATGACAAGCCACAGACAGGGAGAAAATATTCGTGAAGAATATATCTGATTAAACATTTATATTCAGAATAAACAAAGAACTTTCAAAACTCAACAATAAGAAAACAAGCAAGCTAATTTTAAAAAACGGTCAAAATATTTTAATAGGCATTTCACCAAAGACATACAGATGGCAAATAAGCACATGAAGAAATGCTCTACAATGTAAGTCATTAGAAAAATGCAAATTAAAACCACAGTGAGATACCATTACATGCCCATTAGGATGGCTTCAATAAAAAGACTGGCTATAACAAGTGTTGGCGAAGGTGTGGGGGAAATGGCACTCTCGTGGTGGTAAAGTTAAACATACACTTACCATATGATGCAGCCATCACACTCCTAGGTGTCTGCCCAGGAGAAGAGGAAATATATATCCGTACAAAGACTTGTACACAAATGTTCATAGAAGCTGTTTGTAACTGCCCCATATTGGAAACAAATGGCCACCAACAGCTAAATGGATAAACAAATTGTGATATATCCATTCAATGGAATACTCTGCGGAAATAAAAATGAACTATTTTTGCAAGAAACAAAATGGATGAATCTCAAAATAATTATGCTGACTAAATGGAGCAAGACAGAAGAGTACATGCTGAGTCAGAGAAATTAGGCAAGAAAAAGAAGTAAAAGGCATCCAAATCTGAAAGGAAGATGTCAAATTACCCTTGTTTGCAAAGGACATGATCTTATACCTAGAAAAAAATTTAAAGATTCCACCAAAAATACACTATGGAGTATTATTCAGCCATAAAAAAGAATGAAATCCTATCATTTGCAGCAACATAAATGAAATTAGAGGTCATTATGTTAAGTGAAATAAGCCAAGCATAAACAGATAAATATTGCATGTTCTCACTCATATGCAGGAGCTAAAAAGGTGGATCTCATGAAGATAGAGAGTAGACTGGTTGTTACCAGAGGCTGGGAAGGGGAAGGAAGAGAGGTGATGATGGGAGAAAATATACATATAAATGTATTTATTTTATTTTTATAATTAAAAAAAATTTTTTTTGAGATGGAGCCTCGGTCTGTTACCCAGGCTGGAGTGCGGTAGTGCAATGTTGCCTCACTGCAACCTCCACTTCCTGGGTTCAAGCGATTCTCCTGCCTCAGCCTCTTGAGTAGCTGGGACTACAGGCATGCTCCACCATGCCGCCTGGCTAATTTTTGTATTTTTAATAGAGACAGGGTTTCACCGTGTTGGCCAGGCTGGTCTCGAACTCCTGATCTCAGGTGATCTGCCCCCCTCGGCCTCCCAAAGTGCTGGGATTACAGGCATGAGCCATCGTGCCCGACCTTATAAATCTATTTATTACCACTGAACTAGACACTTTAAAATGGTAAAGATGGTAAATTAAATATATAATTTACCTCAATTTTTTAAGTAATAATTTTAAAAAGAGTACATGCTGTATGATTCCATTTATACAAAACTCTAGACAAACTAACCACAGTAACGCAAAGCAGATCAGCAGTTGTCTATTGCAGGGAGAGGTGCAGGCACAGAGAGAAATGACAAGGAGATATGAGGAACTGTCTGTAAGTGACAGGTGTATTCACTACCCTGACTGCAGTGATGGGTTTCATGAGAGAATATGTATGTCAAAACTTATCAAACTATCGTATGCTTATCACACACTTTCAACATGTGTAATTTATTGCATGTCAATATGTAAATCAAAAAAGGCATTTAAAAACATAACACAGGAGTAAAGCAGGCACTGCTGCACCCAGTACAATCTACTTCTGGTTTGAAATTATCTTACACTTACAGAAGTGTTGCAAAGACAACACACATTATTTCCAAACACCCTTCCCTCAGATCCCCCTAATGCCAACAGTGTACATAACCACAGTACAATTAGCAAAATTCACACACTCCTCGCTCTCCTCCCTCTCTGGGACAGCCTGCTGCAGTCCAGAAGGTCCATGCCTTTAATAAGAAGGTCCATGCCAGGCCTCCACTCCGGCTTTGCCTCTGCTGCTCTGCGCGCAGTCAGCACTCTCCACACTCCAGATGTCTCACTGGCTCCCCCCAGCCCCATCTCTCACAAGCTCCAGATCCTATAATTAACTGCATCCTCAACGTCTCCCCAGCTATCCCACAGACACCTCGAATGCAGCTCGTCTAAAACTGAATGCATTACTGTTGCAGCATCCCCCACAACCCTTTCTCCTGTGGTCTTTAGCTAAGCAAATGGCATTGTCATCTATACCCCCTCCCTCCACCCCTCCGGCCCCAGTCAGACATCTCTGACATCACCATTCAAGTTCTACTTTCTCCACATGTCGCTCAAACCCCACCCTGCAGGCCCCATCTCTGCTATGGACACCTTGATTCAGGCAGGATGTCAACTGTCCTAAGGCTGTCAGAACAGGCTCTAAACACTCCTCACACTTGAGTCCCTCTGCCTCTAATCCTACTGCCTGGAGTGGTCTCTCTGAAATGCTCACCTACCTATGTCACTTCCTGCTGAAAATCTTACAGTGCCTCCCAAACGCGCATAGGGTGGCATTCTGGCTCTGGGATTCAAGGTCCTCTCCAAATAGGCTTTGACAACCCCTCTTGACTATAACTGGCCAGTTTGCTCCTTGAAGGAGTCATCAAATGACACGAAACTCCTCTTCCTCCTACACCCACCGGACAGCCTCACGCCCCTGCTCCTGTTGTTCCCTCAGCCTAGGTTCTTCCCCATCTTCCCCACTGGGAAACTCCTATCCAGATGCAGCACTATTTCAACCCTTAGAATGAAGCCTTCACAGAAATACGAGGCAGAATTGCAAGTCCTTTCTTGTGTACGAGAGCCTTTTATACATCCTTTGAGGCAGGTTTCTGTGTCTGTCTGCACTGGATGTAAAAGCCTAAACAGCAAAGATTGTTTCTTACTTATCTCCATCCCAGCACAGCCTAGGACTTGGGCCTTATAGACACACTGATGGCTGGATGAATGGATAAAGAGATAAACAGATGTACTCATGGATGGATGGAGAGAGGAGACAAATGGAAAAATGAGTAGATAAAGGACGAATGGGGGGATGGATGGGTAGTGAGATGAACAGATAAGACAAACACCAGATCAGTGATTGCATGGACAGAAACATGAACGTACAAAGGGATGGATGAATGAATGGAAAGTTCCTAGGCATTTCAAGGGCAGAGATTATTTCTTATTCAACTCTGTTTTTATAGGGCCTAGAAGAGGGCCTGGAATATACTAGTAGATGTTCAATATGTGCTACTGGAGGGAAGCGCCAGGTTTTTGTGGGAAAAGTTTTGGACTAACAGTTGGAAGACCTGATTTCCAGCTCTATCTGTATCCTCAATAGTTCATATAAACATGAGCGACCTAACCTCCAATTTTCCATTTACTCTTCTGTAAAGTGGGTAGGTTGAATTAAACCACTTTTAGGTATTTTCCAAATACACTGGCTCCCTGATTTGAAGCTGCCCAAATCTAAGATAAGGCTACAGAATGGGACGAGGGCCACATTTGAGCAAATGTGTGTTTACTTACAACTTGTCCTAATGCAGAGCTGATCCCAGATCTCTGCCAGCAATGGGGGAGAAGAGCAAACACACTCCAAATGAGATTCTGTTCCAACTGTCTGGCTGACAGCCTTGTGGTGGGAATGAGAGACAGGCTGATAAAAGAGCCTGGGGGGTAATTAATAGTGAAACATGAACCTCCGTGAGGCTGTACCCACCTCTCGCTGAATGGAAGGAGGGAAGGGCCGGGCTGCACAAAGCCTTCCCAGGGCCCTTGGCTGCTGGCCAAATGTACCCTTTATCCAGAAAGATGGGCTTTTGTTCACAGAGTATGGGGTCTGTCCCGTTAGATTCACACCTGGACTCCTGGCATGCTGTGGAGTAGCAATTGTACTATGAACACAGCTATCACCACTCCCAGAACAAAGTGTGCCAGGCTGTCTACATGTCCCCTTGACACTTCCAACAACCCTGGGAGGCAGGAAAGGTGATTATCATGAAGGAACATGTAGCTTGTAAGTGGGAGGTTCAGGCTTTGAACCCAGGACAGCCTGACTCTTTGTGCTACGACCGGCTGCTTTCTGCAGACAGCTGCCCTGGAACTGGTCGGATAACATGCCAGAGACATCATAGTTCATGCCACCCCAAACTGCAGTGCCGCCTGCCTGAGCCTGCCTGGACTCTTTGCAAGGTGCTTTCACGTTGATTCAAGCTGGCAGTGTGGGCCATCACTCCTATTGTGCAGATGGGACACTGAGACTCAGGCTGACAGGTGAAGTGACCCAGCCACAGTCACACAACTTGTAAATGGTGGAGCTGGGATTCCATCCCTGGGAACTGGAGTCCCAAGCCAGGTGCTTAATGGGTGAATTATTCTGTTCCATGGTGGTAGCTGTAGTGGACATCTGTGGGTTTTGCCTGGTGACAGCATCTGAATTTTCTTTGTGAAATAACAGTTCCCTCCCCCCACCACCCACCTCAGCTCATGTGATTTGGGCAAAACTAATATGCCCTGTATCTCTGTACTCCTCGCAGGGGTGGGCAGGCAATCCCTGCAGCCATGGTGGATGCATATGACTGACAGTGTCCTGTGATATTCAATTCCACAACTCCAGAGGAAACTACTGATCAAGAGGCATCCTCCTTCTGCTGGGGTTCCCTGAGCTGGTGACTTGGAAGCCAGGAGCTGCCGGAGGCCACCTGTGACACTGCAAAGGGACAATCTGCCAAAGAGTGAAGCCAACACAGAGAAAAGCAGGGGAAAGAGGCAAGCAGTTTCCTAAAGACATATTTTGAGACCCCCGAATCCAGCCACACTTGAATATATTCCAGGTAAATGAGCCAGTGTGAATTTCCTTTCTGCTTAAACCAGTCTGACTCGGGTGCCTCTCACCCACATCTGAGAGGCTCCAAGTCAATACTGCCCCTCATCACACTGAATAACCATCACTTGTTTCCTTGGCTGTTGTCCCATTAGACCCAGGGCACTTGAGGGCAGGGCCTAGTTCAAAGCCATCACGATGTCTCAGTGCCTGATTCCAACCATCCTCGATGAATATTTGCTGAATGAATAAAAACCCAATCTGACTCAATGTTCATTTGTGAACTTATTGGTATATGAGGCCCAAGAGAAGCCTGAATTCTCTAGTCTAACCCACTCTTCCCCTCCTCCTCCTTCCACCTTTCAAGGCCTAATTCCAAAGCCACCTCCTCTGAAGCTGGCCCATGGCCTGCACCCCAGTCCAAAAGTGCTTTCACCCACATCAGGACCTCCATGGTATGTTTCTGCCTTTTACAGTAATTCACACACATGCCTGGCCTCTCCAACCAGACTGAGAAGTCCTGAGGAAAGGGTCTAACATTGATTCATTTTTATATCAAGCTAGCTCCTGGCACCCGCCAACTCAAAAAAAAAAAAAAAAATCTGAATCCAAAGGATCATTTTATTCAATATTCACCAACCCCTAATATAAGTCAGGCACTGAGAATATATGGGTGAATACAGCATAATGGTTAAGAATAATGATGATGATGACAATAGCTACCATCTACTGAGGTATTACTTAGTGCCCAGCACTAATCTAAGCACTTTACATATATTAACTCATTTAACCCTCAGAGAAAACCAATGAGGTGGCTACCATTATCCCCCATTTTACAAATGAAAAAACTAAGGCTCAGACATCAAAGAATTTGCCCAAGGTTGCAAAGATGGTAAGTGGCAGAGCCAGGACTTGAACCCAGGCAATCTGGCTCTGAATCCCTGCTCTTAACTGAATCTTATGCTATAGGATCATGAATACTAAACAGACTGCTTTGTAAAAACCATGGCCTTCTCCTGTCTAATGCCTAATGTCTTTTGGAAAGAGCTGGGCTAAAAATGGAATCGACCATGCCCAGTGATTCTGGAGCTTGGACAGCAGGCAGGTTTTTAGCAAACTGGAGTCAGACACACTGGTCTGAATTTCTAATAGCACCATTCTTTGGCCCGATGTGTGTTACTGGGACCTCCCTGAGCCTCAGTTTCTGCAGGATTAATAATCTCACGGGCAGTTACCGGGCTTAGAAGAGTTAACACATGAAAATCACTTAGCATAGTACCTGGCTCCTACCACACAATCAGTGAGCGGACGCTGCTGTCACTAGTACCTTTTATTATTATTATGGAATAAAGCAAATGTACAGGGCTTGGGACAAGGTATACTGTCCAATATTATAAATGTGCTTCTGGTTTTTTTTTTTTTTCTTTCTTTCTATAACCTTGAAAGAATACCTGCCCTTCTCTAAAATGATTCAACTAGGGCTGCTTACCAGGCCCACAGAAAGCCCTGCTGCCAGCCGGCCTTCAAAATGGATTAAGGATTTGGAGTTCTCTTCATTTCTCCACTCACAGGATCAAAGGGTGCGGGCGAGGACTGGGAAGCGGGGGAGGAAATGCAAGATGGAACAGGCCCCAAGTTTTTAACTGGCATAAGAGCAACTGTGGTTCATCCTAGGCTCAGCTGAGCTGCAGGGAGCAGGCCCCCATGATCTGTACAGCCTGTGCCCTTGAGAAATAAACACAACTGCCAGAAAGCAGCACGCTTCAGCTACTGCTAATCCCAGGCTACAAGACAAGCAGGAAATCAGAGGTGCCCTGTGATGTGTTTTCCAAAAAGCGTCAGCAAGTACACAGAGCAAGGAGGAGGGGACAGTCCAATGCAAATACACAATTGGGTTTCAGAACAGGGAATAAAGGCTGAACGCACAGACCAGCCCCAACCGAGGGCACACAATGCTCCATCCTCAGCCTTGACTCCACTGCCCTCTAGAGGACACACAGGCACCAGCCGACAGGTTTTCAGCAAGTTCCCGCTGTGGAAGGAAGCAACGTGTTCTCCTATGAGGGAGGATCATAGGCTTTGAGCCACTGAGAAAACAGATGCCCTCCATCCCTCAGCCACGAGCCTCGTTCAGCCTCTCTTTCATCTCTCCCTTGGACTTCAGCAACAGCCTCCTCACTGGTATTAATAAAATAATAAAACGATCCTCTATTAAATGCTGACCACAGGCACTGTGCTGAGGGATTATACACGTTAAATCATGGGATTCTTACAACATCCTAGGAAGTAGGTAGCATTCCAATTTACAGATGAGGAAACTAAGGCTCACACAGGTTAGAGGACCTGGCCAAGGCCACATAGCTAGCTACAAGTAGAAGATCTAAAGTTGAAACCCAGCAAGGGTTTAAACCCTGGGCAAGGGCCCTGTATCTATCTGACTAACCACTTTACCAACATTAGCGGCAGCAGCAACAGCGACCCCTGAGAATGTTAGAAAATCAAACTCTCAGCTGGGCTCACACCTGTAATCCCAGCACTTTGGGAGGCCGAGGTGGGCAGATCACGAGGCCAGGAGTATGAGACCAGCCTGGCCAACATGGTGAAACCCCATCTCTACTAAAAATACAAAAAGAAAAAATAAAAATTAGCCGGACATGGTGGCAGGCACCTGTAATCCCAGCTACTGGGGAGGCTGAAGCAGGAGAATTGCTTGAACCCAGGAAGGCTGAGGTTGCAGTGAACCGAGATCGCACGATTGCACTCCTGCCTAAGCAACAAGAGCAAGACTCTGTCTCAAAAAACAAACAAACAAAAATAAAACTCTCAGAGTGGGATCTAGCAACACGTGCTTTAACAGCTCCTCCAGATACTTAGATGCACCCTAGCTTGAGAAGCTCTGCACTAGACGGAGTTGCTTCAAGAAACTCTCTCCCTCAATCATGACATTTCCACACTGCCCCAGGTGGTCTTCCTAAAACACAACTCAAACTCTTTAAAGGCCTTAGAACTCCACTGGCAGGCCCCGGGCCTAACTCAGCACAGCAGTCAGGCCCTCCACAGCCCCTTAAATCCATGAGAAGCAGGACTTGGAGAGAGAACCCGATCGAGCATCTCCTCTATCGTGTACAAGCTCTGCCCTAGTCCTGAGCCTACAGGAGGGTACTTAGTCCTTGTTGGTGAGAAAATCCTTCTGCCCAGAATAGAGAGACTGAAACTGGGACAGGTGACAAGATGTACTCATGTTCATGCAGCCAGCAAGCGCCAAGGCCAAGATCAGCGCGTGGGACCATTTGACCCCACAGCCCAAGTGCTTCCAAGGCAAATAGGGCCAAACTGGTTAGGAAGCTGGGCCAGGGGCCCATGGCTGTGGGCTCTGACATCCAAACAGGCACAGGCTTCCCACCCCAGGTTCTGGTCTTTAACAAAGTGACCCAGCCAATATCCAGCTGATTTCATCCAAAGAGCCTTCATGGGTAAATCCCAGTCTTGACCTCCTCCTCTGTGACCCTAATAGTAGTGGGATAGGAGCTGGGAGAGGCCAAAGCCCTGAAAGGATCCTCAAGAAACCACATCCTGCTGGGCGCGTGGCTCACGCCTGTAATCCCAGCACGTGGGAGGCCAAGGCAGGCAGATCATCTGAGGTCAGGAGTTTGAGACCAGCCTGGCCAACATGCTGAAACCTCATCTCTACTAAAAAATACACAAATTAGCTGGGTGTATTGGCACACACCTGTGGTCCCAGCTACTCGGGAGGCTGAGGCAGGAGAATCGCTTGAACCCGGGAGGTGGAGGTTGCAGTGAGCCAAGATCACGCCACTGCACTCCAGCCTGGGTGAGACTCAGTCTCGAAAAAAGAAAAAAAAAAAAAAAAGAAAAGAAACCACACCCAGAAAAGACATGCATTAGACCATGACAGACAAGGTAGAAGAGTCCAAATATGTCAGTCAACACTCTCCTCAGTGCAAGACTGTTCAAGGAGTCCATCCTCACCCTGCCTGCCCCGCTGCCCTGCTCCTTGTCCACACCAGACCAGGATGGTGCATGTCTCCACGCCTTTGCAGACACCAGCCCCTCTGCCTCAAACCTTCTCCAAGAGCTGCCCAGCAGATTCCTACCCACCCTTCTAAGACAAACCCCAGTGCCTTCTTCAGGAAGCCTTCTCCCTCCACTCCCAGGCACTGTTGTGCCATTTCTGTGACAACACTCACCTTTCCACAGATCAGAGAAGCACCAGGGCCTAGGATGGTGGTTCTCCATCCTGTTAGAATCCCCTGGGGAGCTTGCTTGGCATGGAGAATGAACATCAGGTGGTTCCAGTATATAGCCAGGATCAAGAAAATTGACCTCCTGGAAGACCTGGGCTTTGAAGCTGCACACAAATGTATAGATCCTGCTTCTCTGCCTCACAGCTGAGTCACTGGAGCAAGGAAACACAACCTGCTTCCCACCCTGTGAACTGGGGATTACAGCACCTACCATGCTGAGATCCCACCTTCTTGCCTCCTCCCCACCAAGCAAGGACTAACCGCCTGCTTGTCATTCTGCCCAGATTGGTAACTCCTTTCTCGTGCATTCGTTTACTTAATGGCTATTTATTGAACACCTGCTGAGTACTACCAGGCACGGTGCTGGAGATGTGGGGTACGGCAATGAACATGTCAGGCAAAATTGCTAGAACATCTGGCAGTTTACCTGGGGAGACAGCCACAAAGGAAGCAAACAGGAGTAGCTTCCCATGATAAGCACGCTGAATAAAATTAAAGTCGGTGGGAAGAGATCCAGCAATGGGGCAAAGGGAGGCTACATTAACATTCAGGTTAGAGAGGACTGCTTCTAAATTAAGACCTAAATGCTGAGAAAGCAGCCTGGGAAGATCAGATCTGAGGAAGGTGGAGTGAGAGCCAATGGAGTGTTCTAGGCAAGGGAGAGGTGGGATCTGTCTTGCTTTTTAATGAAACCACTCACATGAATTGTCACCATCTGCACACCAGGCTGTGGGACCTTCACCTCTGTACCCTCAGTGTTCCAGTCAGGCCTGGCACAGGAGAGGGGTTGAGTGACTGGCTGAATAAATGAACCCTCTTCCCCTGAATGTGTTGTTTCCAGGTCTCCAAGCTAAAGCTTCTCTGTCCCCTGGCTTCTGCCCATCAGCAGTGTGACATCTTTCCCACAAAGAACCAGGTGAATCCCATGTTGATGGTCAAACTCCTAAGACCCTAAGCCTCTACATCTGTGTTACTGTTAAGCCACATCTAGACTAGGCTAAACTTAAACAGCTGGGATGAAAGGAACATGGGCTTCAAACTCATATACAGACCGTTTGACCCTGGACAAGTTCTCTAACCTCCTTGAACCAGTTTTTACCCGTACAGTAGGTCCAAGGTACAGTGGTCTGGTTTATCCCTCTCCCTTGTACAGTCCTAGCCAGATGAGTTCAATTTGTGGTCAACCCAACAGAGCGTGAGAGGGCCTCCTATGTGTTGAGCAAAGCACTTTGGCCGTCATTTTGGAGGAGACACAGCCCATCATAAACGTTCAATAAACAATCACAGGCCTGATCACCCTCAACCTGAACTCAACTGTGATACTTCAGGAGAGCAGCTATTCTCGAAGCTGACTGTAATCCCCCTTGGGGGTACAGTTGATGACCAGCTACAAATCAACCTGTGCCAGCCCAGATTTCCTTTGGTCCTCAAGGACATCCCGAGATGACTGGACAGATTCCTTGCTGCATCTGCACCATTCCCTGACCTGTATTCCAGTAACCTTATCAGGAAGGTAACAGGAAATGTAAATTTATCAACTTGTTCTTGGTAGATCTATGGTGCCCCAGTGGTCCCTGACAGCGGGCAAGTTGTACCCGGTGACTCTGTCACTGACGCTGCTGGTCAGGTGGGCATGTTTTCACAAGCAGGTCTGCTTCTTCTAAGTCGTAAAAGAGTGAGATGCTAGAGGTCTTAAAATTGAACGACTTATGCCTCTTGCCGGATGTCTTAAAATTCAACAACTTATGGCTCTGCATCACTAACCATCCCAAACATGTAAACTGTTAGTAAATCTGTATAAATATTGGCTGAATAGTTTCCAGTTTAGTGTTCCTGAAAGTTAAATGGCCTTAGCTCTACAAATGGGTGATAAAAAATAATTGTCAAATATTCATTTTCTCCAAATCCCATCCTCTTTTCAAGGCTACAGTATCTTCTTTACAACGCTATATCCCTCCCTTTTAGACAATGTGATGAGCCCAGGGGACACTGAAAACCCCTTCCTAAGGTAGGGAGGTTATACAGCACACACGTATGGTATTAGCACCTAGGTAACAAGAGCTGCTGTTTCCTGCACGCCCACAGTGTGCCAGGCATTTACACACAGCAACTCATTGAACCCTCCTAAGTCACATTACCATCAGGCACATCTTAAAGACAAGCAAAATCATGGAGGTGAAGTAATTTGGCTAAAGTCTCCCTGTTAGCAATGGCAGGAAAGGATCTGAACCCAGGTATATCCGTCTCTTACCTACTCACCCAGCCACACTACCAGCCAGTCCAAACTGAAACCACTCAGAACCAGACACCCCTCCCTCCCTCTTCCCTCCAGCGACATCTCCTACTGCCCCTGACCATCTTCACGTCCAGGACACTGACGGCCACACCTTGGCTTGGCTCCAAGCTGCAGCAACGCCCCCCCACCTGTCCCCTGTCCTGCACTCACCTCTGCTCTACCCAAGGCCTGCACTGAGGCCACCCCCTCCCCATACGACCCTTTCCCAGCAGCCTCAGTTAACAGGAGCTTTGCCCCCCTCCTCCTTCACCCGCTGCTGTGCAGTCTGAGTTATGCTCCACTTGTTCACACACACACACACTTATCCATCATGAGCCCAAACTGACTGCAAACGGAAAGCAGATCTCATATTTCTCCTCTGAACCTCCCACTGCGCCCGGGGTGTGATGGATCCATATCCTCCCTTCACAGCACTCACTCTGGAATGATGAACGTTGCTCGCTTGGTGGCGGCACTGGAGCTGAGAAGGATGACAGACCAGTGACAGGTCTCCATGCTCTCGCTAGGAGCTCCTCCACCTCAAGCAAGGGGAAGGCTTATTAAGCACCTCCCTTGTGCCAGGTGCTGTGCTAGACACCGTACAGGCTGTATCTTGTTTAATCTTCCTAACGACCCAAGAAGGGGATTCATTGTCTCCACTTAATGGATGAGCAAAGTGGGTTCAGATAAACCACTGCTGGAGCCAGCTTCAAATCTGATTCTGCCCAAGTTATGAAGCCAGTGTTATCTCCACCGCACCACAGCGTCAGAGAGAGAAAAGAACGCAACGCCTCACCTACATCTGGGTATCTCTGAGTCCGCAACACACTCTGTTCAACCTCTACTCTCTTCCTGAAGAGAGGAATTACCTTTTACATCTGTCTATGGGCTTTTTTCCTTCCAAAGCAGGAAAACATTTCATGGTCCTTTGTGTAACTAAAACCCTTAGGGAGCAGAATACATCTTTCAAACAGGAAAGGGCTCAAGGACATTTCTACCCCATTCCTGGCCACTCTCAACTGAGCCAACCCACACATCACATCGCACCCCAACCAGATTCTCTCTGTCTTCCCTCCCCCAGACCCTACACCCCCCGCCCCTGCAAGACCTCCTAGGAGCCTGCTCTGGGCTTAGCCCCTTCCTTGGATCCACCTGCCTCTGGTCAGGACTCCCTGCACCAGCCTCCCATCCCCACACAGGACCCTCTCCCAGGACTCCAGCTGCTCAGCCTCCCACCCACACAGGTTAAGGTGTGGGGAACAACATGGCACATACACTTCACAAGCTTCCCATGTGGCATGGCTCATCCTACTCTGGATCTCACGCCATCCAAATACCAGGATCTCAGCAAAAGAGATGATACTACAAACTTCACTACCTATCAGTCTGACTTGTCATTCCAGCCAACACAACAGTGGGTCATTGGTATGTGGATACTGCAGTCTGTTTGGGCACATGATGAGTAAGTGTGTGTGTGAACAAGTGCAGCAAATCCTAGACTCTCGCTGCCAACTAAAATCTAGCTTGTAGCTGACCTCCCCACTCACTCCTGACTTGCTGATGTGTGTAGTAGCAACTGCAGAAAATGCCTCGACAGACCAAATAATAAATGGCCAGCTGTGACTCTGAATGGCATCCTTCCAGCTCTGCAGAACTAGAAAATGCACTCAAACCAAAGGGGCCCCGGGTCTGAGACATGTCATTTCCCCAGGATGGACCCACCTTTGAACTCCTCCAGTACTTCAAAGCCAAGGCACAGAGATGGTGTCATCAAGACCTTGAGAGTCTGCAAAAACTCACACACACTGGGACTCCTTGCTCATGGATGTGTGTTCTCCTGTTGCTACAAGTGTCCCACCAGTTAAATGCAAAGTTTCCTCTTGTTTAAGTGACAGGTCGTGTGGATCACTAATTTACATAAACCCAGAGGAGAAAAAAATCCACAAGGATGGAAGAGGGAATCAATCAAATATTAAGATGTAGCCCAAACCCTCAGCATCTGGTACCAGTTCTAGAGGGAATATATAAACATGGCAGAGACCACAGGAATGACAGATGGTTGCAAAAACAAGAAATAATGCATCAAATTTACTCACGGTGACACGAACAACACTCAACTTCTGCCGCTGAGGTGGCAAGTTGGTTTGCAACTGAAAAGACCCTTCATCAGGGAAGGTGAGAAACGCTACTGCAAACACTACTGTGCACACTACTGCACCTGCTCAACACATCACTCACTAATATGGGCCAACAGTTGACTTCTCATGGCCATGGTTTATTCATCTGTGAAGCGGGAATGGCAATACTTGCAGAAACAGAGTAGCCCATTACAAGCAAAGGCACATGGGCCTTTAAACAAACCTACATCTGAATACAGTCACTTGATGAGTAACACTGAGTTACTTAAACTCCCTGAGGTAGTAAAATGGTGATAACACCCACCTCAGAAGGCTGCTGCAAACACTGAGTAACAGCTGATAAAAGTGTTCCTTATAGTAGCAGGCATGTAGTGAATGCCCAGTAACTACAAATGTCTATTAAGACTTGTTGAGTGTTTATAATACTCCCCAACATGGTGCTGTGCACCTTGCCTAACTTATCTTGCCATACTTGGTTTGTCTACCCTTCATGTATGAAGATAAACATGTTTTTATACATAAACATGGACACGAGAAAACTTCTGGAAGGATATACATCAAAATTCTAATAGCAGTTACCTCTTGGTGCTAGGAATGTAATTTTTCTTTTTGCTTATCTTTTTCCAAAATTTTCTACCAACACTATTTCTATATGCCTCAATATTTGCTTTAACACCAAACAAAATTACAATATAATGAAAAACCACTGCTCTTAGGTAACAACCCCCCAAACATAAGCCCTTTTTTTTAGAGGGAAGAACTAATAAAGCTTTGCTTTCCATGAGGAACCAATAAGTGTTTTTCTTTTCAATAAGAAAGCTAACTGACTTACTCCCCTCTTCACTTTGCCACCAGGAAGCTCAGAGTCAAAATTTTAGTTCGGTCATTCAATTAGCTTTGTCCCTATATTTCAGAGGCTTCTTGGTTGGGACATTAAATGACAGAATTATAACATTTAAATTCTCTTTCTGAAATTAAAAAAAAAAAAATACAAAACTGCAACTCAAGGACATAATAATTTTAAAAGTCTTAGAAGTTCCATAATAACAAAAGTCAGTTTATTAAATGCTCAATTCTCAAAATTATATATATATTTTTTTAATTATTTAAAAAAACTTCCATGCCCTTCCATTCCCCTCCCTCCAAACTAGGTATTGTCCAAGTTGTATCAAATGCCACAAAGTCTACCATGCACCCAGAAGCAGAGAAGACAGGAGGTCCAGAGGACAAGGTATGCTGGGGTCACTACTCGCACTGCAGAGTCCACGCGAGTTAACTCATGCTGGGGGCAAAGAATGGAAAGAGCTAATACACAGACAAAGCAAAAGAACGAAATGCGCAGCCTGACCAGAGACGTTTACAATTTATACCAACTTACAAATATTTAGGGTGCCCACCAACTCCGAGAGAACAGACCAAACTAACCACATGAAGGAAGACCTCTGCCGGGGCCTCCTCTCCCTACAACCTCCTCTCAAGAATCATTAGGAAGCCCAAACAGCTTCACAGTTCCGGCTTCCCGGCTGCTGTCATATTTGCCGTCTTTGTCATCACAGGCAAATGCCAGCAGAGGCCTTTTGGGGTGCCATGCCACTGTGAAGGTCGGAGACTCACACTGTACCTCCCATAGTTTGTCCCCTATAGAAAACAATAGAGAGAAACCAATCAATACGTTCAAAACGAAGGACACATTCATTAAGTACTTACCTGTATTAACTGGTTTAATCCACCTACTAATCCCATGAGATAGATACAACTATTACCTCATTTTACAGAGAACCCCCAGGCACAGAGAGCCCACAAGCCAGCGGAGGACAGAGCCGGTTCTGAGCACAGGTGGGTTAACTCAAGAGCAGGTCACTGAGCAGGAAAGTGTCTCCGCGTCACAGGGACATGCAGTTACATGAAGGATCTGCATGGCTGGATGCTGGACAATGTTCACCACAACGTGACTAACAGGAGCATTCTTTACATAGTGGAATTTCAAGTTCTTTACTTTCCTCTTCGAAGTTTTCTATACAGTTTTAATCTTTTTACGAAGAGTGTCACAGATTTCCAAAAACAATAAAGCAACATTAAAAAACAAATCTGAGGAAATTCTTTTGCAAAATGAATACTCTCCTCCCATTTTTCTATTTCCAGCTTCTGTTGTTTTTAAAGCAAAAACTTTATAATTCCTCAAATTTTAAATAATATTTTTTCAAGTTCATATACAGGCAAAAGATAAAGAGAAATATATCACAACATTTAAAACAGGTGGTATTTAGAGAGTGGGACCCCAAGTGGTGCTTTTTTCTTCCTTCTACTCTGTAGTTTAAAGTTTAAATAAATCAAAATATTTTTCTAAATCACCTTCCTCAGACCTGCCTGTTTATTTCTTAACTCTTTGCTTCCTCACCACCTGGCAGTGACAGTCAAAACAGAAACATACTTGTCTAAAGGAGACAAATTCATTCATGATCATGCTGGTGAAGTAGTCACATGCAGAGATGAGATCACAAGAGAAGTCCTGACTGCCAAAGGTGAAAGACGGTAGATTCTCATGAAGTTACCTGTCTCCACTTCAGCAATGTCAATAAAATGATCTTCCGATGCTGACGCCAGCATTTTCCCATCATGGCTGAAACTGAGGGTTCTTACAGGCCAATCCAGCCTATGATACAGAGTGGACAGAAGAGACAAGAGAATTACCAAGTAAGAGGAGGGAACAATGTCACTCACGATGAAATAAAATTAATGTACCCAACAAGGGAAGTGCTGATAGAGTCACTTACCTGGAAAAGCACCGAACACACACTAACTCATCCACATCCCAGAGGCTGACCAAAGCATCTGCACTTCCTGTGGCAAAGTACTTCCCCATGGGGTCAAACTTGATACAGATGCAGTTGGAAGGATGGGCGTTGATGGACTGCACAGGCTTCAGTTCTGGGTAGCTGAGAAAAAAGACAGCGATCAAACTGCAGAAGAGGACTGTGGTGCTAAAACAATAATAGGAGATGATGAAGAAGAAAAGCAAAGATAATAGACCACCACCAAGAACTGTCATTCAAGATAACATTCCTGAAATAAAAAAAGATTTTGAACTACATTATTTAAAAAGCACAACACATACCTGAGACTACAGAACCAAAGTTACCAACATCGAGACAGAGACTAGCAAAATTAGTGGACTTTAAAGAAAAAGAAAATTAGATTATTGGGCTTTCTGACAACAACACTTAATGCCAAAAGAAAATGGAGTACCATATTTAAGAAAGATACACAAGCGAGAAAACGAGCCAAGGATTTTTACATCCAGCAAAACTGAATTTCAAATATAATGATACAAACAATAAGCACAATAACGTTTTATAAAATCTGTAAGTTTTAGAATTACGTAAATAAGTTGTAATAAAAACTCCAGGAATAATGTTCCCATGAACGCTTCCCGAGGAATCTTAACTAGAGAATGAGCTTCAATTAAAAAAATGACTAGAGACTTATAAGGACTGGTGCTGAACACTGAATATACAGTTTCTTGCAAAAACTATACATGGTTTAAAGAGAGGGTATAATATGTAACATGTGCACATGCTTACAACATATAGTACTATTTTTTTAATGGGGGAAGAATGGAAAGAGCATATGCAAAAACCAAAAACATTTTTTGTTTCAAGTCATCACATTGGTGGTAGCAGCAGTAATATTGTTGTTCTGAGACATCTATATGTTTACCATGGGAGATAGGTAATAAGTAACCATCGGATATTCTAATTCTATGATCCCCTGTGCCCTTGAGAACCAGAATACTCAATTTGGGAGGAAAGAAATATATTTGTAATATAGAAGAGGTTTAGTAAAATCCCTGGAGTCCTCAATTTTGATTGCAAGTTATCAATGTGAATTCATAAGGTATTTTATCTTTAAATATATACACACACACACACACACACACACACACGTAATTCCTAGGCCAACCCAGCAGTAATGAACATTCCTAACTTCAGTATCATTTCTCAGTAAAAGAATGTAAGGCTCCTTTTTTTTTTTTTTTTTTTTTTGAGGTGGAATCTCACTCAGTCGCCCAGAATGCTGGAGTGCAGTGGTGCAATCTAAACTTACTACAACCTCCGCCTCCCGGGTTCAAGCGATTCTCCTGCCTCAGTCTGCCAAGCAGCTGGGAATATACACGTGCGTCACCACGCCCAGATAATTTTTGTATTTTGAGTAGAGACAGGGTTTCTCTATGATTGCCAGGTCTCAAGTGATCCACTCGCCTCGGCCTCCCAAAGTGCCAAAGTGCTGGGATTACAGGCGTGAGCCACCGCACCCAGCCAGAATGTTAAGGCTTCTTGGAGAATGTTCTGATTAAAGGTCTGGGGCAAGAAATGCACAAGATGAACTTGGAACATCTTATCAAACCAGAGAGCAAAAAAACAGAAGACGATGGGATTATGTCAAAAAAGGTCTCAGGAACCAACTTGAAGAGGTTCTTATTGGCCAAAGATGGGATAATTTGAGCTTCAACAGGCATAACAATTACAAGAGATGGAAACACACCAACTATGTTTAAAAACATCAGCCCGTAATGATTCTTTAAAAAAAAAAACACCTAACTGCTCATCTTTGGAGGTAGCAGGAAACAAAATCATTATCTGACAAACAGAATCAAAATTTTATCCTGCCTTCCCTACATGAACTACACTACTGGGTAACCACATCGCAGATGAGAAGCAGCATCTCTTTACACAACAGTCCAACACATAAACAGCATATGGAATCAGCAAAAGCCAAACTGGGAGAATCTCCACAGGTTAACAGTCTGGTTTTTCAACAGCTACGTTTTCGGAAGTTTCTTTTGAGTAATTTAAGAGATACAAAACACATATCAATTTTTTTTTTTTTTTAATGAGCAAAACTAGGGTATCTAGGGGCTGCACATGTGGTAGATAAACTATGAAGAAACACTATAAAAGTCAGGATAGTGTTTGCTTTTGTGGAAGGAAGTTGTAATTAGGACAAAACACCTGGATGGACTTCTGGGATGGCTGGAAAGAACTACTTCTCAACTTGGGCGGGGTTGCACAAGAGTTAAGCCTATAAGAGTTCATTAAGCTATACATTTATTTTATGTGGTTTTCAATATCTGTGTTTTATAATAAAAAGATTTTTCTTAAAAAGTTATAGAATCCCCATTGCCTACAAAATAAAACCCAAGATACTAAGCATAAAATAAAGGCCTTTTATAATCTGGTCCCAAATTAGACTTCATCTTCCCATTATCATGCCCTCTCTTATTTCCCTTATCTGCCACCACTCCCCCAACAACCCTGACCTAACCACTCTCCAAGTAAGTCATGCTCACTCACACCTGCTTTGTCAGTTATGTGGTTCCCTTTTGCTTATTCTTAAAATTCTGCTCATCTTTCAAGATCAAGCTCACAAGCTCCCTCCTTCAACCCCCCATATAGTATGTCTGTTCTTTCCATGGAATTTCACAGCAAACTCCTGGCCTCCCACTCACAGAACCTATCTCACTTGGTCTTGCATTGTTCACCTGGGATAGTGGAAGGCTAGAATTGAACAGACCTGAATTTCAGCTCCACAGTTTCATTCATTTACAGAACAAATATTTACTAAGATCCTACTACGTGGAGCAGGTACAGGACTAGACATTAGGGATTCAACACTAAACAAGGCAAACACCATCCCTACCATCAAGGAATTCACAGTCTAACAGGAGACACAGGCAAATAAACATGCAATTACAATATAGAAAGAAAAGTGCTTCCTACAGAAAGTATATAAAATACGCCTCTAACCTACCTCTAACCTTGGGGTAGCGGGGGAGCTTCCCTGAAGGCAAAGTGATATTTCAGTTGAAACTTTAAGAGTACGAATTAGCCAGAGGTCGGGCTAATCACCTGAGGTTGGGAGTTGGAGACCAGCCTGACCAACATGGAGAAACCCTAAACTACAAAAAATACAAAATTAGCCAGGTGTGGTGGCACATGCCTCTAATCCCAGCTACTTGGGAGGCTGAGGCAGGAGAATCGCTTAACCCCGGAGGCAGAGGTTGCGGTGAGCCAAGATCACACCATTGCACTGCAGCCTGGGCAACAAGAGCAAAACTCTGTCTCGAAAAACAAAAAAAAAGGGAGTATGAATTAGCCATAATTCAAGGTGCATCCAGTTCTAGCACACACTAGCTGACTACTGATGTAACCTCTCACCCTCAGATCCTCATCTGTCAAATGAGAAGCAAATCATCAACCCCTAGAATTTCTGTAAGGACTCAGTAAAATATAAAGTATATAAAATATACAGCTCAAATGTACTTAAGACAGGTTAGGATTCTCTCTTACTATTTGTGTTTTAAGCTCCTTCAGGATAGGCTCACATCTAATTCATCTCCATATCTGACACAGCACCCAGCACAAAGACATGACAGTCCCCTAAGCTAGACCCCCTCACCTGAGGATGTTGATACAACCATTGCCATTTGTCAGGAAGAACATATTATTGTCATTGTTCCAGGAGATTTCGTTGACCTCGAACTTGAACTGCTCTTCTGCTTTGGAACGGTGTGTCTTGGCATCAATAAAGGTCACCACATCATCCTTGTTGCCTACAGCAATGGTCTGCCCATCAGGACTCCAGCAGATATTAATGTTCTCCCCTGGGAACCCAGACATAATCAGCAAGATAATCTGTTTGCTCATAATCCTCTACAAGTTTATTGCACTATCCTAGAAAGAAGACCAGAGCTTTCTTCCGGGCTTACTCATTAAAGTCCTAGACAATGGAAGGGAGCTACCACTTACGATTCAACAATAAGTCCAGAACTTTCATCTACACATTTCCCCATTTGGTCTTCACAATACTCCTCTAACATACACTTTATTATCTCCATTTATAAAATCTATAAGATTTTATAGATGAAGGAAATAGGAGATAAGACGACAAGCCAAAGTGTCAAAGCTATGAAGTCAAAGAGCTATGAAGTGGCGCGATCTCGGCTCACTGCAAGCTCCACCTCCTGGGTTCACGCCATTCTCTCGCCTCAGCCTCCCGAGCAGCTGGGACTACAGGCGCCTGCCACCACACCAGGCTAATTTTTTTGTATTTTTAGTAGAGACGGGGTTTCACCGTGTTAGCCAGGATGGTCTCGATCTCCTGACCTCGTGATCCGCCCGCCTTGGCCTCCCAAAGTGCTGGGATTACAGGTGTGAGCCACCGTGCCCGGCCGAGCCAAGATTTTAAACCCAGATTTGACCCCAAAGCCCCCTTTTCTCTTACACCAGCATTTCTCAACTCCAGCCATTCGCATGCCAACATCACAATTTTTGTCCTATCCATTAAACACTATACTTTTCTTTATTCAAGATTTTTCTTAAAATTGATTCAAAAAAGTTTACTTAAATAAATTTAGCAGCCAGCTGTGGAGGCTCAAGCCTGTAATTCCAGCACTCTGGGAGGCCAAGGTAGGCAGATCACTTGAGTCCAGGAGTTCAAGATCAGCCTGGGCAATATGGCAAAACCCGTCTCTACAAAAAATTAGCCAGGCATGGTGGCATGTGCCTGTAGTCCCAGCTACTCAGGAGGTTGAGGTGGGAGGATGGCTTGAGCCCAGGTGGAGGCTGCAGGGAGCCAATATTATGCCACTGTACTCCATCCTGGGTAACAGGGCAAGACCCTGTCTCAAAAATAAAAATAAAATAAAATAAATAAAAATAAAATAAATTTAGCTTCAACTGAATAATAAATTCTATGTGCTAGTTCTTCTAGTAGACATTAAGATATTTGCAAAACTGGTTTTTAATGTTCACCCACGCATCACCTGAATCACTCATGGATCAGCAGCTGTATACTTGGGGAAAAACCACACCATTCCGCCTCCAGAGATAAGTCTTGTCAACAAAGTCCAGTGGCCCACACTGAACACATCAATTAAAAATTTCACCAACTTTTTCCATTCTAAAACGCATATTTTCTCACATTTTAGTATCTACACTGTATCTTAAAATGTATCAGAAAGCATTTCAAAATTTTGGGTGTATCACAGTTATTTACCAACTTTCTTTCCTAATGGAACATCTTACGATCAATGAAAACTCAGAGTCCCATACAATACCGGCCTCAATACTTACAACAGAGCCTATAAATGTACTGCACAACTTTCTCCCAGATCACCAAGACCATCCAAGTTTCAACCATTCTAACTCATCAGAATTTTCCAAATTCTCCATGCCTTTGCACATGCTGTTCCCTCCTGGAAATGTCCCATTCCCCACCCACAGCACCCTGACCACTCAACTCCTATGGCTACCCTAAAAGTTTGCTCAAATTTGGTGAGGCCTTCCCTGGCTCCCCTAGGCAGACTTTTGTTTTCATTTCTATTCTGGGTATCCACCTTGCAGACCTCTCCATTATAAAATGAACCATATCTTGCTATGTTATTTGTATATATATGTCTTCTCCCCGCAGGGGAGGTCCTTGGAGCTGGAAACTCTTATTCAGCTCAGGATGTCTCATACACAGCTGAGTGCCAGGCACAGAAAAGATATTCGGAAAATGGTTGTTGAATGAATCCAAACAGCTTATCTTCCTATTGCCCTCTCTCTGAATAGTCACCTTTAGTGTTCACAGTGGCAATGCATTTTGTAGTCCTCACATCCCAGATGCGAATGGTTTTATCTCCGGACGCCGTAACAAATAGGTCAGGATTACTTGGATGCCAACAAAGCTGGTCCACACTATCCCCATGTCCCCGATAATTGTTTTCTTTGACCTGAAAGAACAGAATCCAGATGTGACTTCACATAGATGTAACTGCCTCCGCATGTAACTTTATAAGCTTATTCAAACCAAAGTATGCTGGGACCAGTAAAGATCTGGGTAATTCAGAATCCAGTTCCTCCAAGCCCTTTCTCCCTTCTCTTCTCCGCAGGCCTTCTGAACTGTTTTTCTCAGCTTCCACACCTATGCCCTTACTTTTGTGCCCTCCCTGGCCTTCTCCTCCTTCCTGGTTTTCCACCCTTACTCTACCACCAACGTACCACCAACGTACCACCAACGTACCACCACCACCACCACCACCACCACCACAGCCCCTAGCCACTTCTTATCAGCACAGGATTCGACTCCAAACGAGTAAGGCTCCCATCGCAGCCCTGTCCCATCCACCCTCTCCTCACCTTCACCCGCCATCGCCAACCTCCTTACTTCCACACTCTTCACACGCCCCCAGTCTTCCTCTCCTCACCCCTCACGACCCCGTCACCCCCACACTCCACCTTCTCCCTACTCCCTCCTCATCTCCACACTCCCCCTTTCCCCTTCCCTCAAACCCACTCTCCTTTCACCCCCGCGGCTCCGTTCGCCCCCATTCGCTCTCCCACTACCGCACCTCACTTCACCACGGCCCCTCTCCCTAGCCTGAGCCGAGCCCCGGCAGCTCACCAACCGGTCCTTCTCCAGCAAGAAGACGCTGGCCGTCTTGTCGAAGGACCCCGAGGCTAGGCGACGCCCGTCGCAACTCCAGGCCACCGAGTGCACCTTGGCGCTGTGCGCCAGAACTCGCGCGTCTTGCTGTGGCCCCGGAACAGCTCCTGCATCCCAAGCACGTAGCGCGACGGGCCGCTGCTCACTGAGCACCACGGGGCCATCGAGCCGGGACCGCTCTGGCCCAACGCCGAGGGCCCCATGGCTGCAGCGGGGACCGCCATGCCGAGCTCCCCAGCTTCCAACTCACAACACTGCAGCAGCCTCCACGGCGCAGTCAGTCCTGGCGCCGCTGCCGCACGCATGCGCCCGGAAGAGGGACGGCCCCTCTGCGCAGGCGCGCTGTACCCCGCCCCGGAAGGGACTACAAATCCCGGTATGCAGCGCGTGCCCGCGTCTGCTTACTTAGTAATATTTGGTTCTTTTAACTCCAAATATGCTTCACACTTAACGATTCCGAGTTTTTTTAGTGTTCTTATTTCTCCCTTACCTATTCTTTGGTAGATATATGTGTATTCCTGTTTAATCGAATAAAAGAACCAACACTAACCTTCTAAACAGTTAACTCATCACCTTTCTTCTGGGGTTGTTCCCTAATCCCTAGTCCCCTCCCTTAAGAGCAGAAAGCTCTGGTCTTTTTGCTGGAGAAGGACCAGCTGGTGAGCTTGTCCCATGAAAAGGGCTAGCGGGTGTGGAGTGAGGGAAGAGGTGTTAAGAAGGGGTCTGGAGGTTTTGTTTTTTTTTTTAAATAAAAATGGATTTTTTGTTTTTAAAAGGTAATGGCAGAGGCGTGTGAACCAGAGCAACTCTATCTTAAATAGGAACTGGGTGAAATGAGGCTTAAACCTACTGGGCTGCATTCCCAGACTGTTAAGGCATTCTAATCACAGGATGAAATAGGAGGTCAGCACAAAATACAGGTCATAAAGACCTTGATGATAAAACAGGTTGCAGTAAAGGAACCGGCCAAAACCCACCAAAACCAAAATGGCGATGAGAGTGACCTCTGGTCATCCTCACCTCTACACTCCCACCAGTGCCAGGACAGTTTGTAAATGCCATGGCAACGTCAGGAAGTTACCCTATACGGTCTAAAAAAGGGAGGCATGAATAATCCACCACTTGTTTAGCATATCATCAGGAAAAACCATAAAAATGCGCAACCAGCGGCCCTCGGGGCTGCTCTGTCTATGGAGTGGCCATTCTTTTATTCCCTTTACTTTCTTAATAAACTTGCTTTCACTTTGCACTGCGGACTTGCCCTGAATTCTTTCCTGAGTGAGATCCAAGAACCCACTCCTGGGGTCTGGATTGGGACCCTTTTCCTGTAACAGTATTACATGCACATGATTGTAAATATAAAAATAAAAGATATAGAGTGAAAAGTAAATGTCCACCTGCGTATCCACCCCACCTCTCATATCTCCCTTAAACCAGTGGCTTCTTGCTGGAGAAAAAAGGGGTGGTGAGCTGCCAGCGCCAGTCAAGGCCCTGGAGAAGAGCTGAGGGGGGAAGGTTTTGGTGGTGAGTAGTAGTGGTAAATGTGTTTAAAAACCCAATTTTTAAAAGGCAACACGTGCACTTGGTAACAAATGTAAAATGTATAAAAGGGAATAGATTGAAAAGCTTCCCTCCATCCTGTGTCCCCAAACTTCTCTTCTGAAAAAGTTAAATTTCTTGTGTGGCCTTCCAGAGACAGTGTAAGTAAGCACCTGGGCAAGGTAGATAGGTGTGTGCATAACCTCTCCCAACACACTGCCAAAAAGGTAGCATTCCTTACACAACTTGCTTCCTATGGTAAATATGTATAGGAAATCATTTCTTGTCAGAAAATGCAGACGTCTCATTCTTCTCAATGGTGGCAGTCTTTATATGAATATATAATATTCAACTGATCCCTTCATGAATTTGCTTTTAGAACAATATTAGAACAATATTGCAGTGAATATCCCTATACAACCTTCATTGTACACATCTGCACTTTTTTATTTGGATATATATTGCCAAAACACCTATGAAGAGGTTTAATAATTTATACTTCCACCAGCAACATAAGAAAGTGTCAGAAGGTCCTAGGTACTAAATGAGTACACATATAAAGCATATGGCTCTCAGAAGGACCGTAGGAAATAAGGTCCCTCTCTTTCCCCAATCTTTTCCCTACCCCATTGCAACCAGAAATTCTTGGAAACTACAAAGCTTTTCAGACTCCAAGAATACCACTGAAGTCTCTAAAATCTTGGAGTAGGAAACTATTTGGTGTCTAGTTTTCTTCCTTACCCCTCTTTTTCAGGAATCTTCATATATATATATATTTAGATATTTTTCCTACATTTTCCCTGTATTTTGTATTTTTTTTTTTTTTTTTTTTTTTGCTGCATACACTGAGGATTTACAAGTCCCTACCAAGATACAAAAACTGAAGTAGAAAGAGGTAAAATGTCCTGGTCCAGGTCACATGACTATCATGTGACAGAGCAAAGGTTAGAACTCAGATGTTACTGACTCTAAAATCTACACTCTGATTCTCAGTATCTGAAATCACGTAAATGTGATTCTTTGTATTTCTGCATTCATTTTGTATTTTTGTATGTAATGTATATTTTTTATTTTTTAATTTTTTTTTGAGATGAAGTTTTGCTCCTATTGCCCAGGCTGGAGTGCAGTGCGATCTTGGCTCACTGCAACTTCCGCCTCCCAGGTTCAACCAAGTCTTCTGCCTCAGTCTCCCGAGTAGCTGGGATTACAAGCACCGCCACCATGCCTGGCTAATTTTTTGTATTTTTGGTTGAGATGGGGTTTCGCTATGCTGGCCAGGCTGGTCTCGAACTCCTGATGTCAGGTGATCCACCCGTCTCTGCCTCCCAAAGTGCTGGGATTACAGGCATGAGCCACCGCGCCCGGCCTGTAATGTATGTTTTTTACTTAATTTCCCCTTGTGTTCCTTTTCTATATTCTGTATACATGGATGTTAGAAACTCAGTTGTGATAAGTATATCCGACTGCTCTTGCCTGAGACAGAAACTGGTATAACATTTCAAGTTGGACTAGCACACATCTGGGGGCAATGTTGAGACTAAAGTCAGAGTCTCTCAAAGGGGAGATAAAATTGAGGGGAACAGAGTCATGGGCCATTTTTTAAAACTTTTTATTTGGAAAAATTCAAATTTACAGAAAAGTTGCAAGAATAGTAAAAAGCACTGCTATTCCTGTGACACAGATTCACCGAATTGTAGCATTTTGTTCCACTTTTTTTCTTTTTTTAGTTTTATTTTTATTTATTTATTTTTTTGAGACACAGTCTTACTCTGTCACCCAGGCTGGAGTGCAGTGGCGCGATCTTGGCTTACTGCAACCTCCGCTTCCCAGGTTCAAGCGATTCTCATGTCTCAGCCACCTGAGTAGCTGGGATTACAGGCGTGCACCCCCACACCCGCTAATTTTTTGTATGTTTTGTAGAGATGGAGTTTCTCCATGTTGGCCAGGCTGGTCTCAAACTCCTGGCCTCACCCGCCTTGGCCTCCCAAAGTGCTGAGATTACAGGCCTGAGTCACTGTGCCCAGCCTCCATTTGCTTTCTCTACATATATCTACGTTACTACTCTTTTGTCTAAACATTTGGCAATTGTGCATTAGTCCGTTCTCACATTGCTATAGGGAACTACCTGAGACTGGGTAATTTATAAAGAAAAGAGGTTTAATTGGGCCAGGCACGGTGGCTCACACCTGTAATTCCAGCACTTTGGGAGGTCAAGGCGGGTGGATCACGAGGTCAGGAGTTCAAGACCAGCCTGGCCAAGATGGTGAAACCTCGTCTCTACTTAAAATATAATCAAATTAGCCGGGCGTGGTGGCGGGCGCCTGTAGTCCCAGCTACTTGGAAGGCTGAGGCAGGAGAATGGTGTGAACCCGGGAGGCGGAGCTTGCAGTGAGCCTAGATTGCACCACTGCACTCCAGCCTGGGCTACAGAGCAAAAAGCTGTCTCAAAAAAAAAAAAAAAAAAAAAAAAAAAAAGAGGTTTAATTGGCTCGTGGTTCCATAGGCTGTACAGGAAGCATGGCTGGGCAGGTCTCAGGAAACAGAGAGACAGGGAGGTGCCACATACTTTTAAACAGCCAGATGTCATAAGAACTCAGTCACTGTAACGAGAACAGCAAGGGGGAAATTCGCTCCGATGATCCAGTCACCTCTCACCAGGCCCCTCCTCCAACACTGGGGTTTACAATTGGAAATTTTCTCAGGGACACAAATCCAAGACCTATCACATTGTAAGTTGCATACATCTTACCCTTTACCCCTAAATATTTCAGTATTTCCTAAGAAATAGGATGTTCTGTTTCCTACCCCCAGTATAGTTATCGATGTTGGTAAATTGAACAGAAACATGGAATTTTATTTAATCTACTGTCTGTATTTCATTTGTGTCAATTTAGCCAGAAATGTTCTTTATAGCATTCTTTTCTTTCAGTACATGTTCCAGTCTAGAACCTCATACTATATTTAGTTATTATATGTCCTTAGTCTCCTTGAATCTATAAAGGTTCCCCAGCATTTCTGTGCCTATTATGACATCAACATTTTTGAAGAATGCAGTTGATGGACCGTTTTTACAGTTCCTTCTCTCACCTAGAAATTCTCTCTTAGGAGCTGATCAAAATCAAACTAAGAAATTTTTTACACATGTGAGTCTTGGGGACTTCAGGGTCATTCAAGGCAGAATCAGGCCATAAATAGTAATGCCAGAGATGACAGGATGTGTAGAGGGACAGGGGAAAAATCTTACAGTGAAAGAAGAGTAGGGGAGTCTTGAAGTATAAGTCCTTTGGGGGTCAGAGGACTTTAGAGAAGCTGATGTTGTAAAAGAAAACAGACTTGTCACCTCTGGCAAAGCCTCAACATATGGGTATGTATCCGTCAGGGTTCAGCCAGAGAAGCAGAACAACTGGAAGATAATTAGAATTATCAGGTAAGTGAAGAAATCAAACTAAAGAAAGGATAGAGTTTCATTTCAGCAGCTTAAAATTTTATATCACAAAGCTGATAATGTTACAACTTAATTATATACCAGACTAATATTCAGAACTAAAGCAGATATATATATGTTCTGCTTTAGTCATATATATGTGATTTTAAAATATAAATATATATTCATATATTTAAATGTTTATATGATAAAATACCTAGATATAAACTTATACAAAATATATTTAAAAATTTTACCAAAAATTACTAATTTTAAGAATTATTTAAGCTGGTGTGGTGGCTCACACCTGTAATCCCAGCACCTTGGAGGCTGAGGCGGGTAGACCACCTGATGTAAGGATTTTGAGACCACCCTGGCCAACATGGTGAAACCCTGTCTCTACTAAAAATACAAAAATTAGCTGGGCATGGTGATGCACAACTGTAGTCCCAGCTACTCAGGAGGCTGAGGCAAGAGAATCGAATGAATCCAGGAGATGGAGGTTGCAGTGAGTCGAGATCATGCCACTGCACTCCAGGTTGGAGGACAGAACAAGACTCTGTCTTGACAACAACAACAATAAGAGTTATTGAGAGGCCAATAAGAATTTTGGTGAAAAAACTAAAAAGGGAAAAATTAGGAAACCATTTATAGAGGAAATATCCATAGATGTAATTCAAAACAAACAAAAAATATTGCTCTACAGAATTCCTACTGCTCCCTTAAGTGTTTGGATATGCAAAACAGAGGCCTCACCGATTCTCCATATAAAGATGGGTTTAAGTGTTTAGATTGGGTATGGTCATGGGAGAGTTGAGTTGCTCTGTATGAAAATGAAAAGAATAGGCCGGGTATGGTGGTTCATGCCTGTAATCCCAGCATTTTGGGAGGCTGAGGCAGGCAGATCACCTGAGATCAGGAGTTCGAGACCAGCCTGGCCAATATAGTGAAACCCCATCTCTACTAAAAATACAAAAATTAGCCAGGCGTGGTGGTACATGCATATAGTTCCAGCTACTAGGAGGCTGAGGCAGGAGAATTGCTTGAACCCAAAAGGCGGAGGTTGCAGTAAGCCGAGATCGTGCCACTGCACTCCAGCCTGGGTGACAGAGTGAGACTCCATTTCAAAAAATAAAAAATTACATGAAAATGAAAAAAATAATTTAAAATATTTGGGGGAATACCAAGACAGAGCAGCACAAACCAGCAGAGTGGAGCACTGCATAGGTAGAAAGGGGAGATTTTAGGTCCCTTAGGACAGGTGGCTGTTTTTTCAAACGCCTTCTTAAAATCACAAGGCACACAAAGAAACAGGAAAATACGGCCTGATCAAAGTCAACAAAATAAATCTCCAAAAACCAACTCTAAAGAAACACAGGTTTCAGGCTTACTAAACAAAGACTTTAAAACAATGGTCTTTATTAAATATACTCAATGAGACACTGAATTAAAGGAAGCAGGAAAACAATACATGAACAAAATAGGATATCAGCAAAGAGACAAATTATTTTTAAAAAGAACCATACAGACATCCTAGAGTTGAAAAATAAGCTAACTGAATTGGAAAATTAACTAGAGGGGTTCAAAATCAGAATTGAATGGGCAGAAGAATCAGTGAACTTGAAGAAACATCATTTGAAATTATCAAGTCTGAGAAGCAAAAAGAAAAAAACAATGAAGAAAAGTGAACAGAGCCTAGGGAGCATATGGAACAACATCAAGTGGACCAAGTTATAAGCTATTGGAATTCCAGAAAGAAAAGAGAGAGACAGAGAGAAACACAGAGGGAAAAAAATAGACTTTTTTTTCTTTTTTAAATTAAGATGGAGTCTCACTCTGTCATCCAGACTGGAGTGCAGTGGCGTGATCTCGGCTCACTGCAACTTCCACCTCCCAGGTTCAAGCAATTCTCGTGTCTCAGCCTCCCAAGCAGCTGGGACTATGGGTGCGTGCCACCACACCCAGCTAAGTTTTTTTTTGTATTTTTTAGTAGAGAAGGGGTTTTGCCATGTTGGCCAGGTTGGTCTCGAACTCTTGACCTCAGGTGATCCACCTGCCTTGGCCTCCCAAAGTGTGGGATTACAGGCGTGAGCCACCACTCCCAGCCTAAAAATAGACACTAAGTAAAAATAAAACTGTTACAAGAAACAGGAGAATATTATATAATGGTGAAAGGGTCAATTCACCAAGAAGATATAACAATTAAAAACATTTATGCAATAAATATTAGAGCCTAAATATACATAGCAAACATTGACAGAATTGAAGACAGAAATAGACAACTTGAAAAAATAGTAGGAGACTTCAGTACTACCCTTTCAATAACGGATAGAACAACTAGACAGAAGATCAATAAGGAAATACAAGAACTTGAACAACACTATAGACGAAATGGCCCTAACAGACATAAACAACACAATCCACCTAACAATAGAATATACTTTTTTTAAAGTGCATTATGAAACATTCTCCAGGATAGAGGATGTGTTAGGCCACAAAACAAGTCTTAATGAATTTTAAAAGATTAAAATCATACAAAATATTGTTTCCAATCACAATGGAAAGAAACCAATAGCAAAAGTTGTGCTGAAAAATCCACAAATACATGAAAATTAAACAACACATTCCTTAATCCCAGATACTCAGGAGGCTGAAGTGGAAGGATCACTTGAGCCCAGGCATTTGAGGCTGCAGTGAGCTTTGATCATGCCACTGCACTCCAACTTGGATGATGGAGCAAGAGCTCATCTCTAAAGAAAACAAAAGAGAGAACAAAACAATACACTCTCAAATAACAATGGGTCAAAAGAAAAAAATCACAAGGGAAATTAGAAAATATCTTCAGACAAATGAAAATAAAAACAAATGTACCAAAATGTGTGGGATGCAGCAAACATAGTACTAAAAAGGAAATTTACAGCTGTAATTGCTTGCATACCAAATAAGAACCCAAATCAACAATGTAACTTTACACCTTAAGGAACTAGAAAAATAAAAAATGAAACTGAAACCTCGCAGAGGAAAAGAAATAATGAAGATTTGAGCAAAGATCAACAAAATAGAGAATAGAAAACAACTTTTAAAATTAAAAAACAAGAGTTGGTTCTTCCATAAGATCAGCAAAACTGCCAACTGACTAAGAAAATAAGAGAGAAGTCTCAAATAACTAAAATCAGAAATGAAAGGAGATATTGCTGCTGCTTTTACAGAAATAAAAAGGATCATAAGCTAGTAATGTGAATACCTATATGATGAAAAATTAGATAACTAGATGAAATGAATAAAATCCTAGAAATACACAATCTACCAAGAGTGAATCTGGAGAAACAGAAAACTGGAATAGACTACAATTAATAAGGAGATTGAATCTATAGCCAAAAACCTTTCAACAACAACCAAAAAAAAAAAAAACAAAACCCTAGAATAAGATGGTTTCACTAGTAAATTCTACCAAACATTTATAGAAAAATTAACAGCAATCCTCCTAAACTGTTAAAAAGACTGAAGAGAGGACACCCCCCACTTATTCTATAAGGCCAGCATTACCCTAATATAAAAGCCAAACAAATACACTACAAGAAAAGAAAACCACACAGACCAGTATCCCTGGTAAACACTGAAGTGAAAATCCTTAACAAAATACTAGCCAACAGAATTCAACAATGCTTTAAAATTACTACATACCACGACCAAGTGGGATTTATTTCTGGAATGCAAGGATGATTTAACATACAAAAAACAATGAATGCGGCCAGGTGCAGTGGCTCATGCCTGTAATCCCAACGCTTTGGGAGGCCAAGGTGGGCGGATCACCTGAGGTCAGGAGTTTGAGACCAGCCTGGCCAACATGGTGAAACCCTGTCTCTACTAAAAACACAAAAATTAGCCGGGAGTGATGGCGGGCACCTGTAATCCCAGCTACTCGAGAGGCTGAGGCACGAGAATCTGAATCCAGGAGATGGAGGTTGCAGTGAATTGAGATCGCGCCAGTGCACTCCAGCCTGAGTCACAGAGTGAGACTCCCATCTCGAAAAAAAAAATGCATTTCTCCACATAAATAGAATTAAACACAAAACCACATGATCATCTCAATTGATTCAGAAAGAACGTTTGACAAAATTCAACATATTTTCATGATAAAAAGTACCCAGCAAACTAGAAATAAAAGAGAACTACCTCAATATAATAAAGGCCATATATGTAAAGCTTACAGCTAACATGTTAAATGGTTAAAGACCAAAAGGTCTAGGATCACAAACAAGAATAAAGATGCCTGCTTTTGCCACTTCTATTCAACATAGTACTGGAAGTCCTAACTGGAGCAAGCAGGTAAGAAAAAGAAATAAAAAGCATCTAAATTGGAAAAAAAAACACATAAAATTATCTCTCTTCTCAGATTACACATTTAATGTAGGAAACCCTGAAGAGTCCACTAAAAAACAAACAAACAAACAAACAAAAACTGTTAGAACAATCACTAATCATTAGGAAAATGCAAATCAGGCCAGGCATGGTGGCTCATACCTACAATCTCAGTACTTTGGGAGGCCGAAGTGAGAGGATGGCTTGAGCCCAGGAGTTCAAGACCAGCCTGGGCAACAGGGTAAAACCCGGTCTCTACCAAAAATACAAAAATTAGCTGGGTGGGGTGGTGCGTGCCTGAAGTCCAGCTACTCAGGAGGCTGAGGTAGGAAAAGCACCTGAGCCTGGGAAGTCAAGGCTGCGGTGAGCTATGATTGTGCCACTGCACTCCAGCCTGGGCAACGGGAGAGAGACCCTGTCTCAAAAAAAAAAAAAAAAAGCAAAAATTAAAATTGAAATGATAATGAGATGCTACTTCATACCCATTATGATGGCTACTATTTAAAAAATGAGCAGAAAATAAAAAGTGTTGGCAAGGGTGTGTAGAAATTGAAACCATTGTGCACTATTGGTGGGAATGGAAAATGGTGAAGTCACATTGGAAAACAGTATGGCAGTTTCCCAAAAAGTTAAAAATAGAATTACCATATGATAAAGCAATTCTGTTTTGGGGTATAGACCCAAAAAGAATTGAAAAGCAGGGTCTCAAGGAGATCGCCATATACCCATGTTCACAGCAGCATTATTCACAATAGGGAAAAGATGGAAGAAATCCAAGTGTTCAGTGACAGATGAATGGGTAAACAAGATGTGATAAATACATATAATAGAATATTATTCAGCTTTAAAAAGAAATTCTGACACATGCTACAACATGAGTTTGAACTTTGAACACATTTTGCAAAGTGAAATAAACCAGTTACAAAAACAGAAATGCTGTATAATTCCACTTATATGAGATTTCTAGAATAGTCTAATTCATAGAAACAGAAAGTAGAATAGTGGTTGCCAGAGGCTGAGGGAAGGGGA